>NC_000010.11:16676666-16828181 GCF_000001405.40 Homo sapiens
TCCAATGAGCATTTCCTTTGAGTGTCACGTCAGCACTCAAAAAGGTTCAGATATGGTGCCTTTCAGATTTGGGATTTTTGGATTAGGGATACTCAACCTGTATAAATGTGTGTTATATATCCACTGTGGGCTGCAGTTATACAGGTTGAGTATCCCTAATCCCAAAATCAGAGGGTGTATCTAGCAGAAAGATAGATTTGTACTTGTTGTACCAGAACCACTCAGATAAGGGGTTGCTAAATTAGAATCAGGGTGAATTGCAGGAAGCTAGCCCTGAGGGACTAAGGAGCTGGCAGTAGGAATACTGTTAGGGACCCTTGAATGTCGCATGTGCCTGCAACCCTAGTATGAGGATGAGGCCTTGTAGGAAGCTGAATTTGATTCAAGAACCAGAAAAGTCAAATGATCATGTACATTCCCCTAAACTTCATACACTGGCTTCCCTTTGAGGGTATCAACATAAACTTAACATTTTCTTATTTTCTTCCCAGATGTTACTCAAAGCAACATGGAAAATGAGACAACGTTCTTTTAAACTGGCCAGAACTTGATTTCTGGCTTTGTCCTCAGTTGTTTTACTTAAACGATGACTGTCCGTTTTCTCGTCTGAAAGCAGAGGCAAACTGTGAACCTACAGGAGATGAATTCTGTAAAGAATTCACCAGGGCCTGGATGTGCATGGTAGGAACACAGAAGTCAATAAATGTCAATTCTCTCTCCTTAGTGTAATTGAGGCAAACTGTATCACACACTAATCTACATGAAGAAAATAAAAATGGGGGTAGGAAGTTGGGAGTAGCTGACTTTATAATGCAGGTCCTGAATTTTTCTAGTAAAAGCCACTCAATACTCTTAGTACTGAAACCAGAGTAAACCCAAGTCGTCTTGTATCATGCATGTGTACAGTGGCCTGCAAGGAGCTGTTTCCCCATTTGCAGTTCTCTTCTAACCATGTTCCAAAAATTTATAGAGAATATTTTTACTTTATGGCCAGTATTTTTTCTTGTTGCCCTGTCTCAACTAAACTTAGAAAAATGAAGCAGAGACTGTCTTCAGAAAACTTAAAATAATATAGCTCCAAGATTATAAGTATTTCAAAACAAAAACTTTTATTGACAACATTTACATTTCTTAGGAATTATCCAGAATTTAGCACCAAAATACATTTGTTAGTTGCAAGACACATTCTATTAAAAGATCACACCACTCACGCAGTTTCTATTGGGAATGCACAAGAACAGATTAAACATGCTCATAATCCCACATAAACAGTCTGAAACACACACGTCATCTTAGTTGACAGCTTAAAAAAATTAAGGAGAAAAGAAACAAAAAAAAAATCCTTGTCTCACTGTAGGAATCCGAAGCGCATTTCCATCCTTTAAGACACAATCAATTCTTTCAAGATCCATTCTTCCTTATTTCAAACCCTCATGCCCTTTCAAAAATAGAAAAGCTTTTCTCTCACTTAAAGTCTTAGGTGGGAAAATACCCCTAACAAAACAAAACAAACCCAACGTAGAAATCCATTTTCTTGCTTTTTCTTTATTCTTCTCTTTTGTTGGTCTTCATGAATGACCATCTTTTCTCATTTGATTCTCAAGGAAAAACAGACTGCCACAGATTCTTCCAAGAACATAGGAAAGCCTAATGTTATCTGACAGGTGTTATAAACAGTGGAAGATTTCACAATGCTTCAGCCAAGAATTGGGATGGTCCATGCATTAAGCGAGAAACCTTCTCTCAAGCTGTCTTTCAAATTGTCTCTTTCCAAGATTCGGGACTCATTTTACGAGGTGATATCACCTTGAAAATTTTTAGTGTACCTGATCAAAGGGAGACTAAAAAGGAGGACTTCCACACAATCTTCAAATGAATGAAAATAGGAGATAGTGTAGACAAAACCAGTTACAAAGCCACATTCTTTGTGGTTTCTTCCTTTATACATTCATGGGGAAGTAAAAACTTCCTACTGGGGAGTATTTTCTTTTTTTAAGAAATAATCTTTTCAATAGTGAATACATGTGAAAATAGGACATTCAATAGGTACCACAGGATAAAGAGTGAAGAGGATGTGCCCACTCCTCCCTGTCTCTTGCCATCCAGTTTCTTTCCCTAGAGATAACCACCATTACTACATTACTAGTTTATTGCCTATCCTTCAGGAATATTCCATCCACTTACAAGCACAATCACGCATTCCACATGCCCCATGGACTACTCCATCATGGAAAAAGAGAAGGCAGACAAGTGAATCACAGATCCCTCAGATTTGAATTAAAAAAAAAAAAGTCTTGCTTTCAAACATAATTAGTTTATTGGTTAAGGAAATGTTTCATTTGCACCATAAGAGTAATGTGGTAAAAAGATCTATAAAAATAACGAAGCACCATAGGGAAGTCATAATCTAAGCTGAGTATTAGATAGTGAGAACACATTTTAATGTTTCCAGTACTTTTTATTACCTACCACCAAAAACAATGAACTGTATAACTTGGAACACTCCAGACCCCAGAATGGTCTTACTTTTCAGAAATTAGGGTGACCTGTCAGAAGTTATATAAGACACTGGGGATGTCATGTGCAAAGCCCAGTCAAGAAGGAATCTTGCTTTCAAAAAGACTTCAGTCTCTTACAGGAGAAAAAAACACATACTTAACTACTAAAATACAGGTAGTATTCACACCAATAAATATTGAGTGAGAAACTTACATACAGTACATACAAGGCATACAATGTCTGACACCTGGGAAAGAAGTGATAGCCACTGTTATTATTAAAATTACTACTAATGAAAGTAGAGGCCCTAAAGAAAGATGATAAAAGGAGCTTAGAGTTGATGGGCAGTAGGGAAACCTTCCAAGAAAAGATCTCTGAGGAAGCGATATTTAACCTGACACTTGAAGAATAACTGGGCATTTAATAGGTAAAGATGTGAAGAAAGAGCATTCCAGACAGACAAGGCAGCACACGTGGACGTGAGGTGGAAAGCAGGTTGTATCTCTGCTGGGATGTAACCCGGCCTTGTCTTTCTGGGTCCATTCCCAGCAGCTCTGTCTGAAGGCTCTCTATTGCCAGCTCAGCTCCCACGTGGCCCACCATCACCATCCTTCTGCCCTAGAGGATACTGTGATGCAGGAACACTCAGGGCAAAGATACGGTGATGGAAAAACTCCCCTCATCTGGCACAATAAAGACTCAAGTTTTTTTTTTTTTTTTTTTTTTTTTTTTATGAGACAGAGTCTCACTCTGTTGCCCAGGCTGGAGTGCAGTGGCACAATCTTGGCTCACCGCAATCTCTCCCTCCCAGGTTCAAGCGATTCTCCAGCCTCAGCCTCCGGAGTACCTGGGATTACAGACGTGCACCACCATGCCTGGCTAATTTTTGTATTTTCAGTAGAGATGGGGTTTCACCATGTTGGCCAGTCTGGTTTCAAACTCCTAACCTCAAGTGATCTGCCTGCCCTCGCCTCCCAAAGTGCTGGGATTACAGGTGTGAGACATCGCACAAAGCCAAAAACCGGATTTTTAAGAAATCTGGTCTCTTATTACACCTTTAACGGGGTATCAAAAACAGTGCCGAGAATACAGCAGACACAGGCCTGTGTCTCAGGACAGAATGTACACGTGAAGCCTGGACATAAGAAAGGCAATCTGAATACCATTTTCCCATGACATTCCAAAGAGCTCAAGTTTAAAAAAATAGTAAGAAGAAGAAAAATAAAAAACAAGGACTGTGTTAGTTCATTCTTGCGTTGCTATAAATACCTGAGGCTAGGCAATTTATACAGAAAAGAAGTTTAATTTGCTCATGGTTCTTCAGGCTGTACAAGAAGCATAGTGCTGGCATCTGCTTGCTTCTAGGGAGGCCTCAGGAAGTTTACAAACATGGCAGAAGATGAAGGGGGTGCAGGCATGTCACGTGGCAAAAGCAGGAGCAAGAGGAAAGGGAAGGGGAGGGAGGGAGGTGGCACACACTTTTAAACAACCAGATCTTGTGTGAACTCAGAGCAAGAGCTCACTCATCACCAAGAGGACGGCAAAAGCCATTCATGAGGGATCTCCCTTCTGATCCAAACACCTCCCACCAGGCCTCACCTCCAATGCTGGGGATTGCATTTCAACATGAGATTTGGGTGCGGACAGATATCCAAACTATGTCAGGAAAAAATGAAACAACAAAACAAAACAAAGAGCTCAAGTTTAGCACCTTGTTCCCAAGGGAAAGGGCTGAGCTCAGTAACTCTTAATTTTGGATGACAACTCTAATAAAATCCAGAAGAAAATGGAGATACTGCATTAAAATAAATGCTATAGGCTTAACATTGGGAAATGATGCTTCCTATTGTGTGTCTATTTAGCAGTCTTAGCCTTATAGTTACACCAAACACAACATTCTGCTGGAGAAAAACAAAGAGAAAAGGTTGACCTAAGACAGCAACTATCACCCTGCTGACTATTTGCATGAAATTATGAGTAAGTTCTTAGATATTGGTTGTAAATATAACGCACAACTGACAAAAAGCACCATCTTAAATGATCCTTTACATGCCACTTTCTCTAACCTATTAAGATGCTCGTTGTTTCTCTGATTTATCTGATAATAAATTTTTGATGACTGTTAAGTCTCATAAAATTGCTCTGGTGCTGACTACACTGATTAATAAGTCTGAAGAATCGAAACTGTCAGGAATTCGTGTGTAAGAATAAGTTACTGCCAAACATCCATTAGATATTCCATAAAATATGGAATAAAAAGGTTGATCTGGTAATTTTATCTTGGATCCATTTTCCCGTAACAATTTGTATTCAGGGTCATCATTGTCTTCTATTGCCTTAAAAAAATCGATAAAGCAAATCCAGATGGGAGGCAAATTTAAGAATTAAATTGAATTAAAAAAATAATGAATTGATGTCAATAAAATATGTTTCCTAGAAAAATAAAGAACTGAGGATTAGAAATCATTGCTGGGACGACCCTCAGAGATGATCTAGTTTGAAACTTGAGCTGTGCAGATGGGGAAGCTGAGGTGGGTGGGATGAGGTCATTTGCCATGAGAAAACTGACACTAGAAGCCACCTCTAAGATGAGTAATCTAAGAACAAGTCCTATGTATATGCCATATATATGTGCTGTATGTTTTTTAAAAATGTTATTTTGATTTTAAAAAGTTCAAATTTATAATAAAAATCAATCCATCTCTACCTGGAGCCTTTTTCCTCTAACAAGTCCTATATTCCTTATTTCCCCTTCTTTTTTCCTTAGTGTTTCACGGAAGAGTCACTGTGTCTTTACAGCATGGTGCATCCTATGAAAATAAGCACTCCATCTTTGATACCTCTCTTGGCATGCTGAGAAAGCAAGCCAGCTTTAACTACATGAGAAGAGAATTCTGTGCCTCTTGATGCTACCCACCAATCCATAGATCTCCTGGGACAAGGTAGGAAAAATGAGACAAAAATCATGAAGGCTGTAGATGTGGTGACCAGAGTCCCAAGATGGGACAGGGAATCTCTGACTCCACACTCTATAGGGCAAAACCCTCAGAGGCGTTCGAACCAGAGTGACTCCATCTTGAGTGAGGGCTAGGAAAATGAGGCTGGGACCTGCTGGGCTGCACTCCCAGGCAGCTAGGCATTCCTAGCCTCTAAATGCTTATAGTTACGGGAACAGACTGATAATGTTGACTAAACAGACCCAGACTTGGGAGTGTCCTGATATCCCGATATCTGGAAAACAAAGGCATTCCTAATTTTGCTTTAAAGATAATATTGATTCTTGCAAAATATAGTAATTAAGAAAATTAATCCTTTATCAGAAACCCTTGTAGCAGAACACATCTCTCCATGGTCTTTTAAAATCATTCATACACACACACACACACACACACACACACACACACACATGCATGCATGTTACCTAGGGTGGACATGCGTTCCTCCTCTTACTTTCGGGAACACCTACTCTGTCTCTGGAGTAGCTGTTCTTTCACCACTTTACTTTCTTAATAAACTTACTTTTACTTTGCCCTGCAGACTCACCCTGGATCTTTCTTGTGCAAAATCCAAGAACCCTCTCTTGGGGTCTGGATCGGGACCCCTTTCCTGTAACAAAACTCCAAGAGCCATTACACAGGACCACACAGGTCCCAGGATCCACACCTACTGGAGGGGGTCCCATCACATGACACAGACCCTCCACACCGCACATGCCCTCCTTATGAGTGAAGGACACAATAGGGGTTGGTGCTCTGTGGAACCCTCCCTTCATGAATTCTCTACCAAATAGGACAAAGAGGTGGTTTGTTAGGTACCTTTCATTCCTAACGCATCTTCGAATTCAAAGCAGCTTTTGTTTTAACAGGGTCCATTCTTAAAAGATTAACAATAACAGACCCCTCTGCCATTCCTTACAATGAAACAGTGGTAAATGTGCATTTCTGGAGAATAACATGATGTTGAAACCCAAGCCTTAAGAGAGGAATGGGTGTGTGGTGTGTGTGTGTGTGTGTGTGTGTTGTGGTAGGGGTGTGGATCAAGACTTGGAGAGCCATTTAAACACACTGGCTCATAAACAGAACGTGTCTCCCTGTGAAGGTGTAGAGGCTACAGATGAAGAGAGGAAAATGAAGGAACAAATTCATAAACAACTCAATGCCGTTTCTGGGCATTTGAGTAACAATAAATATTTCATTCTATTGTGTTTGTATATTATTTCATATGTGTTTATAAGGTTCATGGTATTAAAAAATAGCCCAGGAAATACTGTTTTCCACTATAATGGTTAATTTGTAAATCATCTCATTGGGAAGACAGACAATTCTATCACCTTTGACACGCACATACTTTTGATTGATGTTGTTTATATGGAGACTGAGTAAATTATCATTGAAGTTTTAGTTATTTTATATGGCAAATTTACCAAATACTTTTTTGTTGAAGTCCTAACCTCCTAACAAAAAGAGGAGAAACTCTGTAAAATATTTGGAGAGATTTATTCTGAGCTAAATATGAGTGACCACGGTCGTGACACAGCCCCCAGGAGGTCCTGAGAACATATGTCCAAGGTGGTTGGGGCGCAGCTTGGTTTCATGCATTTTAGGGAGGCATGAGACATCAATCAAATACATTTGAGAAATATACTGGTTTGGTCCAAAGGCGGTTCAACAATTCAACTTCAATTCAATTGTTCAACTTCGAACAATTCGAAGCTGGGTCTTCTAGGCTTTAGGTAAATTTAAACATTTTCTGGTTGACAATTGGTTGAGTTTGTCTAAGACCTGGGATTAATAGAAAGGAAATGCTCAGGTTAAGATAAAAGATTGTGGAGACCAAGATTCTTGAAGTGTCATACTGGCTGTCCTTAGAGACAACAGATGACAAATGTTCCCTATTCAGACCTATACAAGGTGCTAGACACTCAGTTCATCTCCTCAGGATTGGGAGGGTGGTGAAAGAAAAAGATCTAGCTATGCTAGCAGAGATTCTTTACAGATGCGCATTTTCACCCACAAAGGATGGCTGTGCAGGGCCATTTCAAAATATAGCAAAGAAACATGTTTTGGGGTAAACGATTTTTATTTTCTTCTTTGTCACATAATGTTATGCCAGAGTCAGATTGGAAAGTAAGTCAGGATATGTAGGGTTAAATAAAACCCATCTGATAAGAATTTATGGTTAGTAGGGCATGACTCCCCAACTCTCTAGATACGAATTTTGGCAAGATAAAAAAACCAGAGCTTAGTCCTCAATGGTCATATTTGGAGACAGCGTTTTTAAAGAGATAATCAAGTTAAAATGCAGTCATTAGGGTGGGCCCTCACCCCGGATAACTGATATCCTTGTGAAATGGGGAGCTTTGGACACAGAGACAGAGATACCTAGAGAGATGATGATGTGAAGCAGCACAGGGGTAAAAGAGCCAAGGAGAGAGGCCTTAGACAAACCCTTCCCTAACTGCCCTCAGAAAAAACCAATCCTGCTGACACCTTGATCTGGGACTTCCGGCCTCTAGAACATGAGACAATGAATTTCTGCTTTTAAACCATGCCGTTTGTGGTACTTGGTTATGGCAGCCAAAGCAAACGAATACAAATAGTAAAGACAAAATCAGCTGTCACCAGGAAAAGAAAAAGAAACACCCAAAAGCCACTGTACTTATTCATTAACCTGTCACAAAAAAACCCCAAAACTTCAATAATTTAATTTCCAAATAGACACTACCTAATTGGATAGAGAATATAAAGTATGTGCATTTTGACAATGACAGTATTGTATATGTTCCAAATGAGATTATTTAGGCCGGGTATGGTGGCTCATGCTTGTAATCCCAGGACTTTGGGAGGCTGAGGTGAGCGGATCACCTGAGGTCACGGGTTTGGGACCAGTCTGGCCAACATGGCAAAACCCCATCTCTACTAAAAACACAAAAAAATTAGCTGGGCATGGTAGTGTGTGCCTGTAACCCCAGGTACTCGGGAGACCGAGGCAAGAGAATCGCTTGAACCTGGGAGGCAAAGGTTGCAGTGAGCCGAGATCGCACCACCGCACTCCAGCCTGGGCAACAGAGCGGGACTCCGTCTCAAAACCAAACAACACCAAATAAGATTATTTAAAAATGAACTGTTACAGGAAAGGGGTCGCGATCCAGACCCTAAGAGAGAATTCTTGGATCTCACACAAGAAAGAATTCAGGGCGAGTCCACAGAGTAAAGTTAAAGGAAGTTTATTAGGAAAGTAAAGGAATAAAACAATGGCTACTCCACAGACAGAACAGCCCCAAGGGCTGCTGTTTGCCCATTTTTATGGTTATTTCTTGATGATATGCTAAACAAGCGGTGGATTATTCATTCCTCTCCTTTCTAGACCATATAGGGTAACTTCCTGACATTGCCATGGCATTTCTAAGCTGTCATGGCGCTGATGGGAGGGTAGCAGTGAGGACGACCAGAGGTTACTCTCATCGCCATCTTGGTTTTGTTGGATTTGGCCAGCTTCTTTACTGCAACCTGTTTTATCAGCAAGGTCTTTATGACCCGTATTTTGTGCTGACTTCCTATCTCACCCTGTGACTTAGAATGCTTTAACCATCTGGGAATGCAGCCCAGCAGGTCTCAGCCTCATTTTACTCAGTTACCATTGAAGATGGAGTCGCTCTGGTTCATGCGTCCCAGAGAGAACTATTAAAGTGGAAAATAATATTTTATTCTTGACTACATTTTAAAAAATATCAAGAGTCTTATAAACAAATAATATGCAAACACAGTAGAACAAAATATGGAAAGTTATTTCCTTAATGCTTGATGAATACATTGAGGCATGGATAAATGCCTGTGAACATAACTCACATTTAAGTTTTTTATCTGATAAAGTTGATTGAAACTCCTTTCATAGCATTTTGCATTTTAATCTAAAATAACTGACAACACAGAAGAATCCTTAAATGCCCAAAATTAAAAATTTAAAAAACCCCACAAAACCTCCAACAATGCCTGGCCAGGATAAGAAACCAGAGTTCAATAAAAAACCAGCATGTAATAAAACAAGTTATTACTGTGTAGAGATTAGAAACCACAAACAGTTTTGTTTGATTATAAAAGCGCCACTTTTAAATTTATCTCTCAAATAAAAACAGCAAATGCAGGCAATAATTCATCTCAGCTGAATAGAAAGCATCAAGCATTGAACTTTTAAGACTCCTGGGAGTTAATAATCAATATGTAGAGGTGACCAATTTCACTTCAGTGAGGTCAATATCCAATAGTTCAATATGATTATATCAAATGAATAGCATCCAAAAAAAAGGAGCTCAGAATAGCTCCTCTTGAAGAGAATGTAACCTGACACATTATGGGTTTTTTGGAGTATGGATGGAGTCTAGCTGATATTTATTTTCCTTCTGTCAAGTGAGACAAATTATCTATATTCTATTTACCTTAAATTGATACTGTAATGTATCATGCTCCACTTTAGGAGCTGTATAAGGCATGCCAAATGCAGGCTTGATAGTCAACAATCAAGTGAGGGGGATGGAGAAGGGAACAGGGGAAAGAGGGGACTGGAATAGGAGGAGAGAGACACACACAGAGAGAGACTGAGATAGTTTTACTCTTTAAAGTCCTACGGAAAAGCCTTTTGTAGTGCAAGGTTCAGGATAAATCTCTCTTCTCCCTTTGATGTTGCAGCTGTAGTTTTTTTCCCCTATGCCCCTCTAATAGTTATCCACAACTCTTCAAAGATAAGTACACTAGTCATTGAATAAAATGCAAATTGCATTGAGTAAAAAAGGCAAGGAGCATAGGGTTTTTTCTCACTGGTCAAACCTGAGCCTACCAGGTCCCAGTCAGAGCTCCCAGGCAAGCACAGAGTGCTGGAGGATTAACCACATTAGAGGACCAGAGGGAAGTAGTGAAGAAAGCAACGTGGATATGGGAGGGTACATTTTCCAAGTCTTTATTTGCATCTATTGCATATCACAGTGAAAAACACTCCAGAGTAGGACACGTATACAATGGAGTCTTACTAGATGTCTTCAGGAATACAGCTAGTCTCCTGAAGCTGGTTTTTAAGCCCTAGTAGAGTTTCACCTTTGACCTTCATAGGATTAGGGGATGGAAGTTCCCAACTTAACTCACAGAATCCAAGTGTCCTGGAAATATCAAATGGGAACAAGCACCTTCCATTTAAAAAACTGAACCATTTTGCATGAGCTATAAAATTACAGAAAAGTAAAGCCTCAAAAGCCTGTGAAAACATCATATATTGAATAAATTATGAAAATGCAAAAAAGGGAAAAATACTAGTTACCTGTGAAGTATATATGAATAATAGTGTTAACCAAGTTACAAGGCAGAAAAAAAAATCCTTTAAATGCAAAATACACTAAGCAATCTATCACAACATTTGGAAGAGAGTAAGAACTTACGTATTCTTCCTTACATCCTCTGTATTCCTCCTGTCATATTAAAGAGGGAGGTATCAATTTAGCAGGGTAACTGATACCTCATGATCACATACAGGAACAGTTGAGCAATTAAACAAAAAATCAAATTATTATTATTATTATTATTTTGAGATAGGGTCTCACTCTATCACTGAAGCTGGAGTTCAGTGGTGTGATCTTGGCTCATTGCAACCTTGACCTTCTGGGCTCAAGGCATCCTCCCACCTCAGCCACCCAAGTAGCTGAGACTACAGGCATGTGCCACCATGCCCGGCTAATTTTTTTTCATTTTCTGTACAGACGAAGTCTCACTATGTTGCCCAGGCTGGTCTTGAACTCCCTGGGCTCAAGTGATCCTCCTGCCTCGCCTTCCCAAAGTACTGGAATTACAGGCATGAGCCACTGCACCCAGCCTTCAAAAGTTAGTATTACATATTGGCTTACTTTTATTCAGTAGAATAAACATTCTGGAGTTTTTTGTGTTTTAAAATGTGATGCTACCTAATTTTATCATTGAAGTTAACATGAAATAAGAGATGTGACACAATATACCCCAAATATATTATATGGGTTTCCCTTTTCTCTGATACTTTTTAGCAATACTGGTTAAATGCAACATATTTTCTTGCAAATAGGTCCACAGATGCCAAAACTTTGAATCACATATTATGGATAAAATGTGATAATGCATTTTCAACTTTAAAAAAGAAAATATAGGCCAGTAGTGGTGGCTCAGGCCTGTAATCCCAGCACTTTGGGAGGCCGAGGCGGACGGGTCACGAGGTCAGGAGATCAAGACCATCCTGGCCAACAAGGCGAAACCCTGTCTCTACTAAAAAAAATACAAAAAATCAGCCAGATGTGGTAGCGAGCGCCTGCAGTCCCAGCCACTCGGGAGGCTGAGGCAGGAGAATGGCGTGAACCCGGAAGGCGGAGCTTGCAGTGAGCCCAGATCACGCCACTGCAGTCCAGCTTCGGCGACAGAGCGAGACTCCGTCTCAAAAAAAGAAAAAATAATACAAATATGTACCATTTATGAAGAAAATATATATCACCAGGAAGAGAATACATAGTCAACTTGTAAAATGTAAAAACTACCTTTATGTTAAAAGCCAGGTGCCGTGGTGCGTGCCTGTAATCTCAGCGCTTTGAAAGGCTGAGGCAGGAAAATCTCTTGAGGCCAGGGGTTTGAGAGTAGCTTGGGCAACATAGCAAGACCCCCAGTCTCCACAAAAAAATAAAATAGAAAACTAGCCAGGCGTTGTGGTGTGTGCCTGTAGTCCCAGGTACTAGGGAAGCTGAGGCAGGGGGATTGCTTGAGCCCTGGAGATCAAGGCTGCAGTGAGCTATCATGGTGCCCCTGCACTGCAGCCTGGGTGACAAAGTGATACTGTGTCCCTAAGGAAAAAAAAAAAAAGCTTTAAAGAAAAACAGTTCTTCATTTTCATGTCTACTACACAGAAATTGTTTTTCTGTGGCTTAATTTGAGCTATTTTCAGATACAGCAATGAAAAAGAAGAGTCTACATTGTTCTACATACTGATTGTCACTATGTTCAATTTACTAACCACTAGAAAGATCCTGGAAATTTAACCCTCTCCTCCATCTTTGTGAAGATATTTATAAAATCACCTGCTAGCTCTGTGCACCCATTTATACTTCATCAGATGTTTATTAAGTTTTTCTTAGAGATAATTTCCTACAGTGAAGGGCTGTTTTAAAATGAATGGGCTCACCTATTAGGTTTGAAATGCCCTAGCCTTGTGGTGGACTGGTTGTATCAGTGAAGTTATTTAAAGAATTTCTAGGCCACTGACTCAGCAGTCACTAGAGGATATAGTAGTTGTTTAATAAAGCCCATGTACGTCCATTACAGCTTGTAACAGGTTTGCACAGCATGCAGAAGAAAAATAAAACATTAATTAGCTTTAATTCCACAAGTAAAACAATGTGAAAAACAATAACCAACAGCCAAAAGAATGTTTCCTTATAAATCAAACAGGATGATTTATTTGGCTAGATTTCTAATAAAGAGGAATTCTCAGCTTTTATCTCATGGTTTCCCACCATTCACCAAAGACTGCTTTGTTAAAATGTTTTTGTTAACTAATATGAATAATAGTATGGCTGGTCTTTCATTTAAGGTTAAAAAAACGGAACACACAAAACACAAATGAGTGGGGAACTTTTCCGGAGAGAGAAAAGAAAGGTGAAAAAGACAGGCAGAATGACGAGGAAGCATCCTGTGAGTGATGCCATGCTGGAAATGAGGCTTTAGGACTGCCATGCTTGGCAAATTGCAGTTTTCATGATGACGCCTGTTTGCCAAATACCTCTTTCAAGGGAAGCATTTCCAGCCTAACATTTGTCAAACCTCTTTTGTTAACTTGTTGACAAGAGTTAACTTGTCAGCTTTTAAAATGGCTTGCAGTTGGTATCCACGTTCCTTGATGGAAATGTGCAAAGTGTGAGTTACCCCCTTTCACAAAGAATCTTGTCAAGGGTGCTGACTTCAACTTGACTGCCTCTCCTGGGGGAAAAAAATCTACCTTCTGGAAACTTAAGTGATGAGTATTCCATCATAATTCTGCTTCAAAGAAATAAAAGAGGTCGAAGAGACAACCACCATCAAATAAAGAGTTAACAGGTAATTGTATAACTCAGCGACAGTTTAAAAACACAGTGGAGCATGTAGGATGTAAGCTTCAACGACCCAACCAAGCTCATAATTTCATGTTAACCGGCAACTCAGTGACATCAGCCAACAAGTTCCCCTGTGGAAGGCACGAAAGATGAAGAGACAGCAGCTTCCACCTGAGACATGATGAAGGGGCCGTGATTAATGCCCAGAATGTTACTCCAAAGAGCAATCTCTGAAGAACTATACCTCACCATCCTACCAGCCACACCCCTCCTGCTTAATGGAACAAGTTCCCATCTTCATGAAGCTAAGTCATCTCCAAGTATTTTAATTCTGTTGACACACTGAATTCATTGTTTTCTTTCAAGTATCCATGTCTCCTCTTGGAGTCCATTAGAGCCTATAAATCAGATCATCCATCCTCTCTGCCCTAGACTCAGAAGAACTTGAGGACGTGCTCTGAGGAAGGTCACTGTGAACGCCGATCATAGACATGAATGAAAAGAAAACATTCCGGTAAGTTTTTTAGTTCTTTATTCCTCTCATTTAGGTAATGGGTTAACTGGTTAGAAAAAAGCGGTTGGGGTGGGGGAAGGAGGAGGAGGTTCATAGGCGTTTTAAGTGCCAAAACCAAAAGTATGTTTTCATGGTAGTTTAAAGATAGACAAATACACATCCGCAACACACAGACACTGATAAATATATAAGTAAGGATTCTTTTTAATAAAGGGGAAGTATGCGGCTTAAACAACAGAGACAAAGAAGTGAAAATTAGGAACTATAATAAGTTTTAGACTAGAAGATCAAAAACTAAGGCAATGAATGTGAAATTTGCTTTTTTAAAAAAACTATGAGTATCATGAATAAACTGCCTCCCCTGAAGGCTGCCACATGTAAAACGTTTTTAAAAAGTAGCCAAATACCTGCTAATTCGCATAATATTTTTCAGATAGGATACTAAAAATCCCCTAATTATGAAATGGCTGCTTCACACAAAGAGTTGAGTTGGGTTCTAATTGTATGAGGATATACTTAATATAATACAGATCTATTCATATAAAGGAGGCCCTTAATTTTGAAAATCAGTTTGTGTTAATCTGGTGAAACACAATAGCGGCATTTTTGTGCAGTTTTTTTTTTTTTTTTAATGATTAAGAGTTTGACTTATTGTCTTATCAGCTAACAGTCCATATTTTGGGCTAGTATGTTTGACAAAGGGGTGACGACAGCTGCTACAGGAGAATGACAGAAGGACAAAAAAACTGAAATACACAAAGTAACCAACCTTCTTCTCCTTCCCAAGGAGGACAGAAGAGAACTCACAGCAGGCCCCTGCCCTAGCATAGCTCATGTACCTTGTGACCTCCCAGCAGAGCATCATGTAGATGCCCCTAAAAGCAGCTGTTATGGAACCAGCTGGTCCCCGTGGAAAGGAGGCAATGGCTCTCCGGTGCTTACTGAAGCTGCTGCTTCTTTTTTTTTTTTTTTTTTTTTTTTTTGTTTGAAACACAGTTTCACTATGTCACCCAGGCTGGAGTGCAGTGGCGCCATCTATCTCAACTCACTGCAACCTCCACCTCTCAGGTTCAAGCGATTCTCCTGCCTCAGCCTCCCAAGTAGCTGGGATTACAGGCACCCACCACCACACTCGGCTAATTTTTGTATTTTGAGTAGAAATGGGGTTTCACCATGTTGGAAAGGCTGGTCTTGAACTCCTGGCCTCAAGTGATTCACCCTCCTCATGGTGAATCACCCCACAATTCACCCCAAAGTGCTGGGATCATAGGCGTGAGCCACCGCACCCAGCCTACTGAAACTTTTTAATGTTGACTTAACTGCATAAAAGGTAATCCAAGGCTCCATGAGGAAATGAAACAGAAAAAGTTAGCAGACACATTGCTTAGACTACGCCAACCCCCCAAAATAGGATGCTAATAACAGACATAAAAACAGATATACCAATTATGTTATAGATACCTCTCATTTATCCAGAATCCTAACCACATTCAAATCAGTTAAAATAGTCTGTAACAGTGCAGAATGGTGATTAATTGCCTAATAATTACTTTGAGGTAATACAAAATCCAGAAACTCACAATTTAATCTTTTAAAATTAAAAGCACTTTCATATGCAATGTATTCTCATCCTCTATAAATTATAAAGTGATCTATGGAAAACTAAAAATTGTTAACCAGAATAATAAACAGAGAATTTCCTCTAATTCCAGATGGCTAGGAGTTTGTTCATGCATTTTTCTGTATACTATCATATACAGAATGACTTTTTTCAAGATACCATACAAACCAAGCTCTAAATAGCTTCCTGTTTACTAAGAAAAAATTAGAGCCCCATCTAAAACTCACGATAGCAATGATTAACAATTTACAAAGAAGAAGATAAACAATCATCTGCTAATTTGTGACTATATTTTCACACATTTTCATAATTAACTAATTTCTAAGGGTGAGCTACATTCGTATTTTTTTAAAAAAAATTGAATCTGTAATAACTGTACATATCTATATGGCTTATGAAACAATTAATACACATCCTATACCTATCTCATTTTATCCTTAAGGTAAGTCTTTAGACTTATACTGTAAGTGTCATAGTATTGTCTAAAGTAATCTAAACCACGCTTTACATTGCTTTTATATAGGAGGATACGGTATCATTTTGGCAATTTTAGTGTATTTCATTTTAAGGCCATTGTTCTTTTTTCTTTTTTTTGGGATGGAATATTGCTCTGTCGCCCAGGCTGGAGTGCAGTGGCACGATCTCAGCTCACTGCAACCTCTGCCTCCCTGGCTCAAGCGATTCTTGTGCCTCAGCCTCCTGAATAGCTAGGATTACAGGTGCCCCTCCACCATGCCCAGCTAATTTTTGTGTTTTTAGTTTCACCATGTTGGCCAGGCTGATCTCAAACTCCTGACCTCAAGTGATCCACCCGCCTTGCCTTCCCAAAGTGTTGGGGTTGCAGGCGTGAGCCACCATGCTCCGGCTGGCCATTATTCTTTACAGCTTGTCTTCTCTGTTTCTGTCTGGTGGAAACATGGCCACAGCAAGTGCTAAATGTTTGACCAGGAGCATGGCGCTCAGGCTGCAAGACTGCAGAAATGCAGCCAGCCACTTCTGGGCAGAGGCTCTGCCCTGCCAATCAATCCCGACCCACTGGCCTGGCACAGATTCACAGGGTTTTCTTGAGTGTGGGACATATTTCTGATACCAAAAAAAAAAAAAAGAAAAGAAACTCTTAACTAAATGTGACCTTTAGCAATCTTCTAGCTTTCTTCCAATAGTTGGGATGTTAGATTCTCAAAAGTTGGTGCCAGGCTGGGCATGGTGGCTCATGACTGTAATCCCAGCACTTTGGAAGATGAAAGCAGGATTGCTTGACACCAGGAGTTTGAGACCAGCCTGGGCAACAAAGGGAGACCCCGTCTCTGCAAAAAATTAAAAAAATTAGCTGGGCATGGTGGTGTGCTCCTGTAGTCCCAGCTACTTGGAAGGCTGAAATGGAAGGATTGCCTCAGCCCAGGCGCTTGAGGCTGCAGTGAGCCGTGATTGTGCCACTGCACTCCAGCCCAGCAATACAGTGAGACCCTGTCTCTTAAAAAAAATTAATTAATTAATTAAAAAATAAATTTTAAAAGTTGATGTCAGACACAAAAACAGATTACATTTGAGTAGGGATGTTTTTGTCTTTTTTGTATATGCTTAAAATTATACTAGATCTCAGCATTTGGGGTCAGGCAAGTATTTGATAAATGACAGTTTGTTTTGCAGCTGGGGGCTGGGATAAGGTAGGAAAATAATGACGGTACATATAACAACAGAAGCACGTGGAAGTGGCAGAATTCCTTTCAACCTTGACACATGGAGGAAGAAAGAAGCAGGAATCGTGAGGTTTTTGGGACAGTTTTGCATAGACTCCTTTCACCTGGAGTGAGGACTTGAGGTATTTGGATGCTGTGACTTTAAGCTGGCAGATTCCGCTTCCTCTCCTGCCTTCCCCTTTTCTCTAAGAGATTATCATCTCACTACAGTACAAGCTTCTCTATAATAGAATGACGCATTGCTAGTACTCTCTACTGATTTTATAAATAAACTGCTTAACAATTTTGTTCAGAACACTTGTAATTCTTTGCATTCACAGAAGAAAAAAAATATGTTCTGATCTGAATGGTGAATTTCCTTAGTGCCATGAATATTCAACTAATTTAATACCTCAAAAATTCTCTAAAGAAAATCAGTAAAAATCCCCTTGAAAATATCAATAAAAAACAATTTACAAATAGAGACAATGACCACATGCTGTTTTTTCTTGTTTTTTTCTTTTGAGAAAGGGTCGTGCTCTCTCATCCAGGCTCGAGTGCAGGGCATGACCACGACTCTGTGCAGCCTCAATGTCCTGGGCTCAAGTGATCCTCCCAACTCAGCCTCCAGAATAGCTACAATGACAAGCATGCACTACCATGCCTGGATAATTTCTTTTTCTTTTTCTTTTGTAGAGACGGGGTCTTGCTATGTTGCCCAGGCTGGTCTCAAACTCCTGGGCTCAAGCAATCCTCTAGTCTCGACTTCCCCAAATGCTAGGATTACAGCTGTGAGCCACACCACACCTGGCCGACATGCAGTTTTTAATAAAACATCTTAAAATGCTAAGTGCTAACTGCCATCAATAGGATACTGTCACATAATATTTTTAAAGGCGTAATTATAAATACTATAAAATCACAGTCTACTATTTCAGAAAATCAGAGTCTACTTACTATTTGTATGTCTCAGAACGGATATACTCAAAAACATGGGACACGCCAAGCTGGAACTGGTCTGCAATGGGGGTCACCCAGGGATTGTTCTCTGCTTTGAATACCTGCTTCTGGCCAGTTAAATCCAAGTTTCCTGGGGGGGGGGAAAAAAAAAGTGAAGGTCACTTCATCCAATACAGATCAGGTCTAAGAAGTCCTTCTCAGTAATCACAGCCTAAGTACCCTAAATCAAACCCTAAGTGCCTCTTGGATCATTTGATGTCTTTTAAATTTCTTAACCCAAGTCATCACAGGTACACAGTCATGACAGTACCTTGGCCCCAGAAATTAAGAACAAAGGAAGGAAGAAAGAAGACAGATGGAAAAGGAAAGCAGAGCAGAGGGAAGGAGGTATTTGCTGCAGAGACAAAAATGACTTGTTCAAAATTAAGAGAAGTGATAATATGAAAACCATTTAAAATTCTATCTTGACCATGTCAGTATGCATCATGCCTTGTCCTGGCTGATCTGGGCCCAATCTGATCAACACCACTTTTTTCACCAATCAAGACAGCGTATGAATGGAGAAAGACAGGAATATTACCCAAGCCAAACCGTTGTTACTCAAGTATAAGAGCATAAGCACATCTCGGAATCAGCCCTAAATGAATCTCATTAACATGGCAGTGATAAAGACTAATTACCTTTTAAAATCATTCCTCATTTCATTCTCCAGCAATCTGGAAGGTCAGATACTAATATTACTTTATAGGTGAAGAAATGGAAACTTAAGGAAATTAACTAATATGCCCAAGATCAGAAAAAGCCAGCATGAAGATTTCAAGCTGATGCTCAATCTCATACACCTTCTACAGTGTCTGGTGAGGCCATCAGGTTACATATCAATTTAGATAAGGTTGATTTAATGAAGGTAGCATAAAAAAGCCAGCAAGCACCCCTCATCTGGATATCCTCTGTTAATGACCAGTTGACTGTTTTTTTTTCTTTTTGATATATTCAAAAATGGAAAAGGCAAAGTGTGAAAGAACTTCCTAAAATGCGCTCGCCTATGAAAGCAAGAAGCAGAGAAAGAGAAGTTAGGCAGCAGGGATATATGTGAAGGTCTGTCCCTAAAAGTCCTACTGAGGAAATCAATTTTCACACTTCTCATCCATGGCCTGGTACTGTTTGAACCTAGAGACACAGCAAAGATTTTTGCTAAGACACAACCGAAGTTACGTGCTGTTGCTGTTCCCAGGTTCTACTGCCTATGTTTTCATAGATGGTAACTCAGGACAATGAAAACATATCCTGGGACGCAAGTACAAAGCAAATCATTGCCTAGCTGATCTGAGCTTTGGAAATGAAAGGATAAATGAATTTTTTTATGAGGAAGATAATGCAATATTGCTTGTTAAAACAAAATAATAGATACTTTGAATCTTTCCTTTTTGTTCTATGAACTTGCAACTATTCAGAAAAACAAAAGAAAAACGACTACAATTTCACAAAATCTTTTTAAGAAAATACACACTACTAAATATCAAGAGAGAGTAATTCATCATGTTTCCAAAGCTACTAAGAATTTGTTGGCGCTTGGTACAAAAATAAGCAGATCCATTTCTCTCCAAGATTATCAATATTGTCAATTTCCTCATCTTAATGGTTAAACATCGTTAGTCAGATATTAAGTCACTTGGGAAATTAGTGAGCTTGATTCTCTAAACCATGAGTCAGAAAGCTGCCTAGGGCGAATGAAAACCCAGGGGTGGTATGCATTCTGCTTAGCTGAGTATCTCACCTGGGTTTCATCTTGTTGGCAAGGGGCTGCCATTGATCTTTGTTTTTATCTTTACTTAGGGAGGGGGTTTTTAGAGTCCCAAGAATGAAACTGACCCCTTGTTTACATTTCTCTATAATTCTTATTTCCTCTTAAAATCTAGTTTGCTGCACTCAATTTATCTTGTCTTCCATATAATTCCTTCATGGTTTTTTTCTCTAATTTTTCCTTTTCCTAAAAATGAATATAATATACATTCCTGGAAAGAAGCCATCCCTTTAAAAACAAGTCTATTTCTGATGTGTCGTATTTTATGTGCACGATGGTATGTTGCCCATTGTGCACAGGAGGCAGGACTAGTAAGGGAAGGGGTTACAAACTGGACAACAGTGACCACGGTGCAGCAATGCCCTCATCAGCTGGGAATGGTAGTGCTGCAGCTCAATATATCTCTCTTAAAACATTCACCTGAGAAACAACCTATGCTTACATCTTGTCATCTTCATGCCTCTAATCTCTGCCCACAGACATCAGCATGAATCAACTATGAAAAAAATAAACTTGAGGTGTTTGGAAAAAATATGTGTATTCTTGGCCAGGAGTGGTGGCTGATGCCTATAATGCCAGCACTTTGGGAGGCCAAGGCGGGTGGATCACTTGAGGTCAGGAGTTCCAGACCACAAGGCAATTTGGCCAACATGGCAAAACCCAGTCTCTGCTAAAAATACAAAAATTAGCCAGGCACAGTGGTGCGCACCTGTAGTCCCAGCCTCTTGGGAGGCTGAGGCAGGAGAACTGCATGAACCTGGGAGGCGGAGGTTGCAGTGAGCCGAAATGGCACCACTGCACTCCAGCCTGGGTAACAGAGCAAGACTGTCTTAAAAAAAAAAAAAGAAAAAGAAAAAATATGTGTATTGCAAAGTAGATGAAAAAAAAGCAGCAGAAGCCATGAAAAGTATAAACTACATATTTATGGAATAGCACAGAAATGAATTCCTAAGCTAAGGGGATTTTCTAGTTAGTGAGTATTTTCCCCTAAATATCTTTCCTTCTTCTGCAAAATTGGTTATCCTAATGAGAAATATAGTCGGAACTTCTAGTTGGTAGAATTTTACTCTGTTGAAGAAGCGTCCAGGATTTTCAATCATTTACACAACTGCTTTGCTTTTAACATCTGGTTCAGAGGGGTGATTGCAGGAACACACCTTTTTTTTTTTTTTTTTTTTTTTTTTTTTTTTACTTTGGGAAGAGGGAGAAGAGGAGGGAAGTCAGCTACATTTGGGCACAGAGCAGCATTTCTCACCACACTGTATTTTCAGGGCCCTTGGCAAGCATGAGAACAACGTGGAGCAGGGAAAGGATCCGGGAAGGATGACACACACAAGTCTCAGCTATTTCAAATTTTCCCTGGGAAGACTTGCTTGGGATAATGAGGGGAAGAGACTCCTCTTTTCTAGCCTGCATCACAAGCTCCCTTCCGCCGAGTCCCAAGCCTTGCTCGATCATCCGAAACTGAAGGTATGTTATGAGTAAAGCTGGTTTTAAAGACCCCTCCTTGAACTTAAGGAATAGGGACGTATTTCTGCGGGAAAGAAGCACTCGTGTTCTACTACTGACGGCCTGCAAAACCACTCTGGAACGCACACAGCCTCTTGTTAACTTATTAACAGCATCTTACTAAGTGTGCAGTCTTTTCAGTGGTAATCCTCTGAAAATAATGTACTAAAGTTCTATGCTCCCTGACTGCCACTCATGGAAGGAGAATAATGCCAAGAAAGGTCAGCCATGTTCTCTGGGCCCTTTTGTCTGAAGCCTGTAACCCCCTGGAGATCTGTCAATCCCAAGTGATGTCTCTATTTAGGTGCTGTCAGTGGAGACGGCAGAGGCATCACAGATTGCTAATGATGGCTGCTAACTGGAGCACACAGGAGACGCTGGATGCAAGCTAGACATACTCCCTTAAGGGAAAAGGAGTCACACGCTGATGTCTACAAGTCAGAGTTAACAGAAAGGACCACAGGCTATTCACGATCATCTTCACTTATATCACTTCCAACCCATCTGCATATTTTAGCTGGGATGGGGAGTGGCAAGGAGGGTACAGATGACTGGGTTACCCTCCCCACCCTCATTTACTTACTTCAGTATCAAGCAATGCTACTAAATTAAATCCCCAAGTGCTTCCTAAAGCTACATGAACTTAAGAGCCTAATAGAAAAGAATGATTAGGGTTCCCTGGGGAAAAAAAAGAAAAGAAAAAAGCTTCTTGTATGATGTTGGTCTTTCTTTTTAACAAAGAGCCATGAAACCCAGGTATAATGTCCGTGGCAAACCTTAAAGGAGGAAACTATTATAAATGACAGAAATGGAAACCGCGCGAGCGAAACAGAGCAATGTCTCTTTGGAGTTAGAACTGGGACTTGCTGTAATAGGGCATGCTTGTTTTGTTTTTCAACTTAATGTCACCGGTGGATAACACAATACCTGTTTCTGTAGCGCTGCAACCCTCCCAGCAAGCGATTTGTCTCTGGGTTCTCTTGCCTCACTCTGCACCAGTTGGGGATGAAGCAATTTCAGAAGAGGGTTAATATAATTAGAGTAAAGCTGGCCATTATATTGTGTGAAAAGATGACACCCGACTCATATTGGCCTAGCAACAAGTTACCATTGCCTCGGCAGAGCTCGTCTGTCAGCTGTCGGAGGTAGGTTCCCTTTTAAGTAATAACATGCAGGAAGCATCTCACCCCGCTGTCAGTCAGCCTGCAATCGCTCTGACGCCACACGCTTCAGTGCGTTGAGTTAGGAGCCCTCACCCATCCCCTTTATTAGAAGGCTGAGCGGCGCTCTGGTGGTGTTCTAACAAGGATCAGGCAGCAGGATTAAGCACTGTGACAAAGAGGATCTAATAAGCTAGAAAGTGGTGCATCTACAGACACGCTGGCTGGCTCCCAGACACAGATTCACTTTGCTCACTCCTCAGTTGGAAGGCGCAGGCCACTGGGGAAGCCAGGCAGCGCCGTGATTAGCAGTGACCCTCTGACCGATGCTGCTATGAAGATCGTATATCACTCAGAGGCTTATTCTGCAATTGCAAATTGGATTTTCCATTTTATTACCTGCAAAACGACCACATATGCTTCTTTCCAAAGCCTCTAGTACAGCAAGCTTTGCCATGCAACTGCAATTGTGTAAACATTAAATCATGCAAAACACTCATTCTCCTTGCTGGTTATAAATGTGACTGAATGCAATAGACAATTGCAGCCCCATTAATAAGCATGCTCATTTTCACTTATGGAAATTGGTTGTTTCCATAATCACACTCTAAGAATTCTTCCTGAGTATTCAAAATCCTGAAACATGTGGCTAGCGGCACCATTTATCACATAGTAAGCAATCGAGGCGATCTGGGCAAATTTTTCACGTCATCAAAGTAGCATTCCCTCCCTTCCTAATTTCAAAATAGTACCACAGAGAGCTTTTTAAAATTAATGCACTCCAAAAGCCACGCTCTCTCATTCACTCATAAATATCTAAGATTGTGGTCTAACAAGGTAAAACTAAAAAAAAGTGGCTGATTGGGTATAGCCCATCATTACTATACTAGATTTCTCCAAAACCAAGCAATTGATTTGCTCAGAAAGGATCGAGATGGGACATAATAACAGCTGAAAGATCACCTCTTCTCTGCGGCGAATCCTCACATGGAAGCTAACCACAAATGACTCCGATACAAAATAAAAGCTACATTTAGGGACTCTCCCACATAGACAAAGATTCTACACATAAGTCTCCATAATTCTCATTATCATGTGCTAGGCTACTAATTATAGCAGTGCATGATTACAGACAAGTGGCCGACTCTGGAAAGTTCCTACTTTTTCACTTCTTTAGGAACACACTTTACTGAGTGGAAAATGATCAGAAGGCCTATAAAATGCTCATATTGTAATAGACAGTGTCGGCAGTAACTAAACATTGTAAACAACCGGAAATTTCATTACCAGGTGATAAGCAGAATAATGTGCTATAGCCATACTGTGAAATGCTATTCAGTTATTAAAACAGAGTTATTTGTATGCACTGACCTGGAGGGAGGTCTGTAACTATAATTAAAACAATGAGGATCTACCAAGCTTGCTATCAACCAATTTTTGAAAAAATACAGTAGAAATCCATATATGTATATGACTAAATGTTTATGTGTAAAAGAAGAAAAGGATAATATTAAGTTTTTAAGGTTGATTTTCTCAAATAAGGGAAATATTAATGTTGGTTTTCTCAAATTAAGGTAGGGCAGGAGGTTGAACTGGCAGAGCAAAGGATAAACATTAATTACCGATTTGGAGAATTCCATGTTAACAGTATGGATTATTCTCATAATTAAAAAAGATTAAAGTACATTGAAAGGGAATGGTCAAAAACAAATTAAAAGCACATGGTGCACACTAATTGGTACAAAACAGTATCCTTTAATTTAAGTATAGCCTATTGCAGTGAACATCACGCTTGTGGCCCATTCTCTTCTGTCTGCGTAATAGATGACGGTCTAAAAACCTAAGTGGAATGAGAATCTAGGTCTGAAGTTGCTTTTCTTTCTGTACATCATCAACGCAATGTAAGCTGGGATGTCTCATGACAGCTCTCAAATTTATTCTGTGGGGAATGCAAGGCCACACTGTCATTCCGGCAACTGTCTGCTTGGCCTTTCCAGCAACACATTTTTAAAAGAGGCATTCTGTACATTTAATGCATGCATTGCATTGCTGCTTTAAGATACATACTAAAATAAACGGCTACTCTTCGGATCTAGTCGGGGAAGATAGTACAACTTACACACACACACACACACAAAAAGATTTAAAAAGAGAAAACCACCACCCTACCAAATAGTTCCAACACAAGCAGCACCTGATTTAAGTGTGTGCTGGTGTGAAGAGGCCCAGAAGTCCTTATGCCAATGAAGAAAAATAGCATTTTACATTGCTTCCATCTGATGCTCTTCTTGGCCATTTGATATCTGTGGTCCAGGTTAAGAAGGGATAGAAGAAGCTCTCAGTTGCTTATAAATATAATTAACCAGCAACAGAACAGTGCCATCCTCAACAGTCACCTCCAAGGTTGCCTTATGTTGCAAGTTGAAATGGCTGTTAAGTAAATAATTTATGTTTTAAACCTGGCATTCATTTAGGATTTCTCAATCATTCTTCTAAATGTGGGAGGCAATCTTGTTTTTCCTTGCCAGATTTCCTTTTTATTGCTCAGGTAATGTTAGGACATAATGGACAAAACTCTGGTGGATCTGGCTCCTGATCTCAAGAACTATTCACTGACTTGGGCAAATCCCAGAGTGAAAGAATTGAAGACGGGAAGCCTCTGCCTAGATTTCAGAGAATGTAGGGAAAAGCCTGGATGTCCAGGCAGAAGCCTGCTGCAGGGGCAGAGCCCTCATGGAGAACCTCTACTAGGGCAGTGTGAAGGAGAAATATGGGGTTGGAGCCCAGACACACAGTCTCCACTGAGGAACCGCCTTACTGGGGCTATCAGTGGAGGACCACCAACCTCTAGACCAGAGAATGGTAGATCCACTGACAGGCTGAACCCTGCACCGGGAAAAGCTGCAGGCACTCAACGCCAGCCCAATAGAGCAGTCACAGGAGCTAAACACTGCAAGGCCACAGGGAGCCATCCAGGGCTTTGGAAGGCCATCTCTTGAATTAGAGTGCCCTAAATGTGGAACACGGAGTCAAGGGAGATAATTTTGATGTCTTAAGATTTAATGACTGCCGTGCTGGGTTTTGAACTTCCATGGGAGCTGTAGCCCCTTTCTTTTGGCCAATTTCTCCCTACTGGAACAGGAGTATTTACCCAATGCCTATACCTCCACTCTATCTTGAAAGTAACAAACTTATTTTTTATTTTATAGGTTCACAGGTGGAAGGGACCAGCCTTGTCTGAGGTGAGACTTTGGACTTTTGAGTTAATGCTGGAATGAGTTAAGACTTTGGGGGACAGTTGGGAAGGCATGATTATATTTTGCAATGTAAGAAGAATACAAGATTTGGAGGGGCCAGGGGCAGAATGATATCGTTTGGATCTGCAACCCTGCCCAAGTCACAGATCGAACTGCAAACCTCAATGTCGGAGGGAGGCCTGGTGTGAGGTGGCAGGATCATAAGAGTAATCCTTCATGAATGATTTAGCAACATCCCTCTGGTGCTGTTCTAGTGACAGCGAGTAATCACAAAATCTAGTTGTTTAAAAGTGTGGGGCACCTCCCTACTTCCTTTCTTGCTCCTGCTCCCACCATGTGAGTCATCTCACTCCCCCTTTGCCTTCTGCCATGATTTTAAGTTTCCTGAGGCCTCCCCAGAAGCCGAGCAGATGCCAGCATCATGCTTCCTATACGCCATGCAGAACTCTGAGCCAATTAAACCTCTGTTCTTTATAAATTACCCAGTCTAAGGCATTTCTTTATAGCAGTGCGAGAACAGACTAATACAGCAGCGTTGGTTGTGTTAGAGGAATGGACAAACATTTTCCCTACATTGCTGGTTAGAATCCAAACTGGCACCTCTTCTCTGAAAAGCAATCTGGCGATTTCTATTAAGAGTTGTAAAAATGTTCATACTGTTTGACCTGGTAATTCCACCCTAGTAATAAATTTATGCGGAGGAAATAATCACTCATATTAACAATGATTTATGAATACAGATTTTCAACTGAGTGTTGCTTATGTCCTTCTGAACAACTAGAAACAACTCAGATGTCTAGGGGGTTGGTTCATAATTATGAGACACTCAGAGCATGGTATAATATGTAGCCATATGATTAAAAATGTTTTCAAATAAAATTTAATGACATGGGGCAATGGTCATGACATAATATTGAAGGTCAAAATGAAGGCTGTAAAACTTATACAGCATGATCTTAACTTTTTAAAACACCATAAATATATACACAGGTGTATAGGAAAAAGACTAGAAGAAATACACATATAAGTGTATATGCATATGAACAGAGAAAAGACTGGAAAAAAATCTCAGAATTTAAAGTGGTTATTTTTGGATGACAGATCATAAATGCTACCCTTTTCTGTTTCCCAGATTTATTGAAGCAGGCGTTCTCAAACTTGAGTGTGCATCAGAATATTTTTTACAGAGTGACTACAACTTTCAGAGTTTTTAGTTTCATAGGTCTTGGGTGAAGCCCTAGTGTTTGCATTTCTAACAAGTTCTTAGTGGATGATGGTGTTTCTGGTCGAAGGACCACACTCTAAAAGAAAATCCCTTTTCTTTCACAAGGATAAAATTTTTAACATTAGAACTTTAAAATTTTAAATAAAAGAAAAAATTAAATCTATTTTGAGTACTGAAAAAGAAATCTGAATTTTTAGATACTATCACAAGTTCTACAAAGGATAAAAACCTACCAACTGGAGAATCATCATTATCATAATAATATTGGTTTTTATTTGTTATACATGTACCATGTACCAGGTGTCATTTCAGGAGCTTTGCATACATTATTCCAGGGTGTCACAATAATCTTGCATGGAAGGCATTATTATGATCTCATCTTAAAATTAAGAAGCAGCAACTACCATTTTGGGGGTTTAGGATTCATACTCAAGGTCATGTGACTAGTAGGCAGCCAGGCAGGTATTTAAAAACCAATTTATCTGGCTCTTTCAGAGGCCTTGGTCTTTCCAGTACATGACACTTAACAGATTTTCTCCCTCCTTTCAAAAGGTATTGAATATTGTTGGTATAATCAATAATGTGAGATGATTTAGGAGCACTGGGGAGTTATACACAAAAACAAGTCACTCACCTCCCTCACAGGGCCCAGAATTCTGTCATCAGAATCATTCCCTTTGGGCTGAAAGCCCTATTACCTGCAGAAATTTTATTTTTAAATTAAAACACCCTAGTGGGGTAATGCATTAGGTGAATACACTTTCTTTTCTTTTTGATTAGTTTTTTTGGTTCTACTTTAAATTGGTTATTTTTAAAAAAATAAAATACTCTGCTTTTGTTAGTTGACTGGTTAATTTTTCCCCCACTTTTTATTTGCATTAAAATACACATAGGATAAAATTTATCATTTTCATGATTTTTAAGGGTATGGTTTGGTGATATTAATACATTTGTAATTTTGTGCAAACACCACTGTACCATCTGCCTCCATGACTTTTTTTCATCTTGTAAAACCTTAATTCTAAAACCATGCAACAATAACTCCCCATTTCTCCTTTCCCTTATCTCTTGGCAACCACCATTCCGCTTATCTCTGTGATTTTGACTGTTCTAAGTATCTCATATACATGGAATAACACAGCATTTTTTCTTTTGGACTGGCTTATTTCACTTCATATAATTTCCTCAAGGTTCATCCATGTTGTAGCATATGTCAAAATTAACTTGCTTTTAAAGGCTAATATTCCACTGTATATACAGTCATCTCTCAGTATCCATGGGGGACAGGTTCCAGGACCCCTGTGGATGTCAAAAATCCACGGATGCTCAAGTCTCTCATATAAAATAGTGTAAATTTTCATATAACCTATACACATCCTCTGTATGTTTTAAATAATCTCTACATTATTTATAATACAATGTAAATGTGACATAAATGATTTTATACTATATTTTAAAATATGTATCTTTAAAATTGTTGTTCTGCTATTTTTGTTTTTTTTCCCCATGCATTTTATTTATTTTTTTGAGACAGAGTCTCGCTCTGTCACACAGGCTGGAGTGCAGAGGCGTGATCTCAGCTCACTGCAACATCTGCTTCCCAGTTCAAACGATTTTCCTGCCTCAGCCTCCTAAGTAGCTGAGACTACAGGCGAGTGCCACCACACTCAGCTAATTTTTGTATTTTTTAGTAGAGATGGGGTTTCACCATGTTGGCCAAGCTGGTCTTGAACTCCTGACCTCAAATGATCAGCCCACCTCGGCCTCCCAAAGTGCTGGGATTACAGGAGTGAGCCACTGCATCCAGCCCCCACACATTGTATTTATTTATTGGCTGATCCTTTTTTGAGAGATGCTGTCTCTGTTGCACAGGCTGGTGGTGGACTTCTTGGCTCAAGCAATCCTCCTACCTCAGTCTCCTGAGTAGCTGGGATTATAGGCACACACCACCACACCCAGCCCAAATGTTTTTGATCTGTGGTTGGTTGAATCCATGAATGCAGACTCTGTGGATACGAAGGGCCAAATGTAAACACCATATTTTGCTTATCCATTCATCTGTTGATGTACACGTGTGCTGCATTCACATTTTAGCTACTGTGAACAATGCTGCTATAAATATGGCTGTACACATATCTTTTTGAGACCATTTTCAATTATTTCGGGAATATACTCAGAAGTGAAACTGCTGGGTCGTATGGTAGTTTTAATTTTTCGAGAAACTGTCATACAATTTTCCATTTCCACCAACAGTGCTCAAGGGTTCCCAACCTCATCTTTTTAATACTTGTAAATTTTTTATAGTAACCACCCTAATGGATATGAAATTATATAGCATTGTAGTTTTCAC
The DNA here is from genome assembly GCF_000001405.40 of Homo sapiens. NCBI lineage: Eukaryota > Metazoa > Chordata > Mammalia > Primates > Hominidae > Homo > Homo sapiens. The sequence continues at coordinate 16,706,331 of NC_000010.11, forward strand.
TTGCACTTCCGTAATGACTAGAGATGTTGAACATTTTTTCATGTGCTTATTGGCCATTTATGTACCTTCCTTGGGAAAAAGTTATTCAAGTCCCTTGCCATTTTTCAACTGGGTTGTGTTTTTTATTGTTGCTGCTGTTGAGTTTTAGTTCTCTATATACTCTAAATTTTAATCCTTTATCAGATATACAATTTACAAATATTTTCTCTCATTCCGTGGGTGGTCTTTTTAGAAAAAATAATTTTAGAAAATTTTAGAAAAAATTTTAATTGACACAGTGGAATTATACATACTTATGGGGGTACAATTTGATGTTTTGATACCTATCTATGCTATATAATTATCCAATCTGGGTGGCTAGTATTCATCACCTCATGCACGTATTTCTTTGTGGTGGGAACATTTGAAAGCCTCTCTTCTAGCTGTTTCCTAATATACAATATTTCACTGTTAATTACAGTCAGTCTACTGTGTAACAGAACATCAAAATTTATTCCTACTGTCTAAATGTAACTATGTACCCACTGGCCAACATCTCTGCACCCTTCCATCTCTTCCCGCCCCTCCCAGTCTCTGGTAACCACTATTCTACTTCCTGTTTCAAGGATACCAACTCTGTTTTTGTTGTTGTTAAGAAAAAAAGATCTCATATGAGTGGGATCATGTGTTATGTGTCTTTCTGTGTCTGGATTATTTCACAAAACATGACTTCTTTCAGGTTCATCCAATTGTGGCAAATGAGAAGATTTCATACTTTCATGGCTGAATAATATTCCATTATGTATATATACATTTTCTGTATTCATTCTTGCATTAATGGGCACTTAGGTTGATTACGTATCTTAGTTATTGTAAACAGTGCTGCAATAAACATGGGAGTTGAAGTTTTCTCTTCAACATAGTAATTTCTTTTGGATATATACCTAGTAATGGAATGGCTGGATTGTATGGTAGTCCTATTTTTAATTTTTTGAAGGATCTCCATACTCTTTTCCATAATGGTTAATTTACAATCCCACCAACAATGTGTTTCCCTTTCTCCACATCCTTGCCAACCCTTATTTTCTCTTTTTAACAATAGCCATGCTAACTGGAGTGAGGTGGTATTTTATCGTGGTTCTGATTTGCACTTTCTTGATGATTACTGATGTTGAGCATTTTTTCATATACATGTTGGCCATCTGTATGTCTGCTTTGGACACATGTCTATTAAGGTAGTTTGCCCATTTTCTTAATCAGGTTTTTTTTTTTTTTGCTGTTATGATCCTTTTATGTTCTGAATATTAACCTCTTGCCAGATACATACTTTGTAAATATTTACTCTCATTCTTTAGGTGCCTCTTCACTCCGTCAATAGCTTCCTTTGCTGTGCAAAAGCTTTATAATTTGATGTAATCTTGTTTGTCTAGTTTTGCTTTTGTTGCCTGCTGCTTTTGAAGTCTTGTTTAAAAAACCCTTCTCCAGGTCAATGCTGTGAAAAGTTTCCTCTCTGTTTTCTTCCAGTAGTTGCATAGTTTTGGGTTTTACATTTACATTTTAATCTGTTTTGATTTTTCTTTTTTTTGGTAAGAGGTAGAGGTCTAGACTCATTCTTTTGCATGTTGATATCCAATTTTCCCAGCACCATTTACTAAAGAGATTTGTCTTTTCCTTAATGTGTGTTCTTGCCACCATTATGAAAAATTAGTTGGCTATAGGTATGTAAATTTATTTGTCGGCTCTCTATTCTGTTCCACTGGTTTATGCGTCTGTTTTTAAAGCCAGTAACATGTTTAGGTTCCCATAACTTTGTAGTAGCAGTGACCCTTGAACAACTTTTGACTTCCCCCAAAAAACTATTAATAGCCTACTATTGATCAGAAACCTTACGGATAACATAGTCAATTAACATATTTTGTCTGTTACATACATTATATACTATATTCTTACAATAAAGCTAGAGAAAATGTCATTAAGAAAAACATAAGGAAGAGTAAATATATTTATTATTTATTAAGTGGATGTGGAGTATTATAAAGGTCTTCATCCTCATTGTCTTCCTGGTGAGTAGGCTTCCTGTTGAGGGATTTGTCTTGCTGTTTCAGGGGTGGCAGAAGCAGAAGAAAATCTACATAAAAGTGAGCCTGCACAGTTTAAATCTAAGTTCTTTAGGAGTCAACTGTACATTTTGAACTTGGTTGGTGTGATACCTGCAGGTTTTTCTTTTTGCTCAGGGTTGCTTTGGCTATTTGGGTCCTTTTGTGGTTCCATATGAATTTTAGGATTTTTTTTTCTATCTGTGTAAAGAATGTCATTAGTATTTTGATAGGAATTGCATCAAATCTGTAGATTATTTTAGGTAATATGGCCATCTTAACTATATTAATTCTTCCAAACCATGAAGACAAAGTAGCTTGCCATTTATTTGTGTCCTCTTCAATTTCTTTTGTTAAAGTTTTAGAGTTTCAATATAGAGAGCTTTCAATTTGGTTTTGTTTCTATTATCTTTTTTTTTTTAAGCTATCGTAAATGGAGCTGTTTTCTTGATTTCTTTTTCAGATAGTTAATGAACCAATATTAATAATGGTTAATATATAGAAAGACTACTGATTCTTGTATGCTGATTTTGTATCCCATAACTACTGAATTCATTTATTAGTTCTACCAGTTCTTTAGTAGAGTCCTTTGGTTTTTTTTTTTTAATTATACTTTAAGTTTTAGGGTACATGTGCACAATGTGCAGGTTACATATGTATACATGTGCCATGCTGGTGTGTTACACCCATTAACTCGTCATTTAGCATTAGATGTATCTCCTAATGCTATCCCTCCCCCCTTCCCCCACCCCACAACAGGCCCCAGAGTGTGATGTTCCCCTTCCCGTGTCCATGTGTTCTCATTGTTCAATTCCCATCTATGAGTGAGAACATGAGGTGTTTGGTTTTTTGTCCTTGCGATAGTTTACTGAGAATGATGATTTCCAATTTCATCCATGTACCTACAAAGGACATGAACTCATCATTTTTTATGGCTGCATACTATTCCATGGTGTATATGTGCCACATTTTCTTAATCCAGTCTATCATTGTTGGACATTTCGGTTGGTTCCAAGTCTTTGCTATTGTGAATAGTGCCGCAATAAACATACGTGTGCATGTGTCTTTATAGCAGCATGATTTATAGTCCTTTGGGTATATACCCAGCAATGGGATGGCTGGGTCAAATGGTATTTCTAGTTCTAGATCCCTGAGGAATCCCCACACTGACTTCCACAATAGTTGAACTAGTTTACAGTCCCACCAACAGTATAAAAGTGTTCCTATTTTTCCACATCCTCTCCAGCACCTGTTGTTTCCTGACTTTTTAACGATTGCCATTCTAACTGGTGTGAGATGGTATCTCATTGTGGTTTTGATTTGCATTTCTCTGATGGCCAGTGATGATGAGCATTTTTTCATGTGTCTTTTGGCTGCATAAATGTCTTCTTTTGAGAAGTGTCTGTTCATATCCTTTGCCCACTTTTTGATGGGGTTGTTTTTTTCTTGTAAATTTGTTTGAGTTCATTGTAGATTCTGGATATTAGCCCTTTGTCAGATGAGAAGGTTGCCAAAATTTTCTCCCATTCGGTTTTCTATATGTAAGATCATGTCTGCAAACAGGACAATCTGACTTCCTCTTTTCCAATTTGGATGCCTTTTATATCTTTCTCTTCCCTAATGGCTTAGGCTAGGACTTCCAGTACTATGTTGAACAGAAGTAGCAGAAGTTGGCATCCTTGTCTTGTTCCATATATTAAAAGAAAGCTTTTCCTCATTCAGTATGATGTCAGCTGTGGGTTTTTCATACATGACATTTACTGTGTTAAGGTACATACCTTCCATAACTAATTTGTTGAGTTTTTATGAAAGAATGTTGAAGGATGTCAAATGCTTTTTCTGCATCTACTGAAATGATCATATTGTTTTTGTCTCTTTTTGTTAATGTGATGTATTACACTTATTGACTTGCATACGTTAAACTACCCTTGCAACACTGGTATGAGTAATACTTGATCACAGTGAATGATCTTTTTAATGTGCTGCTGGATTCAGTTTGTTAATATCTTATTAAGAATTTCTGCATCTATGTTCACATTACAGATACTTACCTGTAGTTTTGCTGTTGTTGTTGTATCGTTGTCTGGTTTCAGGATCAGGGTAATGCTGGCCTCATAAAATTTTACAAATACTCCCCACTTATCAATTTTCTGGAATAGTTTGAGGAGAACTGTTATTAGTTCTTCTTCAAATGTTTTGTAGAATTCAGTAGTGAAGCCATCAGGTCCTAAGCTTTTCTTTGATGAAACATTTTTTTTAAATTTTTTTATTTTTTATTATACTTTAAGTTCTGGGATATATGTGCAGAAAGTGCAGGTTTGTTACATAGGTATACATGTGTCATGGTGGTTTGCTGAACCCATCAACCCATCATCTACATTAGGAATTTCTCCAATGCTATCCCTCCTCTTACCCCCTACCCGCCGACAGGTCCCAGTGTGTAATGCTCCCCTCCGTGTGTCCATGTGTTCTCATTGTTCAACTCCCACTTATCAGTGAGAACATGCAATGTTTGATTTTCTGTTCCTGTGTTAGTTTGCTGAAAATGATGGTTTCCAGCTTCATCCATGTTCCTGCAAAGGACATAAAGTCTTTCTTTTTTATGGCTGCACAGTATTCCACATGGTGTATATGTGCCACATTTTCTCTATCCAGGAAAGACTTTTTATAACTAATTGTCTCACTAGTTATTAGTCTGTTCAGATCTTTAATTTCTTTATAATTGAATCTCAGTAGTTTGTATATGTCCAAGAACTTATCTATTTCTTCCATATTATCAAATTTGTTGGCATATAGCAGCTCATAATATTCTCTATAATTTTCTGTATTTCTGTAGTATCAGTTGTAACATCTCCTTTTCCATCTCTGATTTTACTTGAGTCTTGTTTTTTTTAGTCTAGCTTAAAGTTTGTTGATTTTGCTTATCTTTTCAAAAAAACCAACTCTTCGTTTTCTTGATCTTTTGAATGTTAATTTGTCTTTATTTCTTCTCTGAGCCTTATTCTACCTTTCCTTCTATCAATTTTGGGTTCAGTTTGTTCTTGTTTTTCTAGTTCCTTGTGGTACGTCATTAGGTTGTTCATTAAAAATCTCTCTTCTTTTCTAATGTAGCTGTGTATTGCTATAAAATTCCCTGTTAGAACTGCTCTCTCGCTGTGTCTCACAGGTTTTGGTAAGATGTGTTTGCATTCTTGTTTGTCTCAAAGCAATTTTTCATTTCTCTGTTAATTTAATTGACCCACTGGTTGTTGAGGGCCATGTTGTTTAATTTCCACGTATTTCAAAGTATCCAAAGTTGCTCATGTTGTTGTTTTCTAGTTTCATACCACTGTGGTTAGAAAAGATACTTGATAGGATCTCTATCTCAAATCTGTTAAGATTTGTTTTGTGGCCTAGCATGTGCTCTATCCTGGAGAATGTTTCATGTGTAATTGAGAAGAATTTGTATTCTGCAGCTGTTAAAATGTTCTGTAAATATCTGCTAGGTGCATTAGGTCTTTGATGTAGTTTTAGTCTGATATTTCTTTGCCAAACTTCCCTTTTATAATTGTATTGCAGTTGATCTGTACCTTTATGTGCAATCATGTTTGTTTTGTACATCTGTATGTTTCAGGGTTGAGTGCATATGTATTTGTTACAATATTCTCTTATTGAATTTATCCTTTAATCATGACATAATGACCTTTTTTCTTTTTCCAGTTTTTGACTTAAAATCTGTCTTATCTGATACAATTATAGCTACTCCTGCTCACTTTTGGTTTCTGTTTGTATGGAATATGTTTTTCCATTCCTTCACTTTCAGTTTATGTTTGTCTTTAATGATGATGTGAGCCTCTTGTAGCCAGCAGATAGTTGGGTCTTATTTTTAAAACCTGTTCGACCACTCTGTGTTTTTAAATTTGAGACTTTAATCCATTTATATTCAAGGTCATATCAATAAAAATTTATTCCTGCCATATTGTTGTTTTCTGCTTGTTTTGTAGATCCTTTTCCCCTTTCTTTTACTCATGTTATTTTCCTTCGCGGTTTGGTGGTTTTCTGTGCTGCGAAGTTTTGTTTTCTTTCTCTTTACTGTTTATTATTCTGTCGTAATTTCTTTCTTTGTGGTTACCATGGGGCTAACATAAGAGTCTTGTAGTTACAATAGACTACATCAACCTGATAGCAATTTAAATCTGGTTGCATGAAAATATTCTAGACTTAACCCCATACACAATTAATATTTTTGTTGCCTTAATCTACTTATTTATTATATATTTGTAGCCACTAAGTGTGGTTGTTGTTGTTTTTGACCTTTTTGACTTCTAAGTCTTCATACTAGAGGATTGAGAGATTTACATAGGACCATTAAATCACTAGAGTATTTTATGAATTTACCTCTACTAGTGAGTTTTACACCTTCACATGTTTTCATGATAATTATTGTCCTTTCTTTTCCAGTGGTAGCACTCCCTTAAGCATTCCTTATAAGGCCAACCTACTGGTCACAAATTCTCTCAGCCTTTGCTTGTCTGAAAAGGTCTTATTTCTCCTTCATTTCTGAAGGATAACTTTGTTGGATATAATATTCTTGGCTGACAGTTCCTCCTCCCCACAAGCCCCCCTTCTTTCAGCACTTTGAATATATCATCCCATTCTCTTCTAACCTGCAAGGTTTCTGCTGAGAAATCTACTAGTAGTCTAATGGACATTCCCTTGTGTGTGATGTGACACTGTTTTCTTGTGGCTTTTAAAATTCTGTCTTTAACTTTTGAGAGTATGATTATAATGTGCCTCAGAGAGGACTGAATCTAACTGGGGACCTCTGAACTTGCTGAATTCCTATGTCCGTATTTCTGCCAAGACTAGGGAAGTTTTCATCTATTATTTCATTACATAGGTTTTCTGTGTCTTTCTCCAACTCTTCTCCCTACGAAGTTCCTATAATGCACACATTTGTTCATTTAATGGTATCGCATGAGTCCCACAGGCTTTCTTCAATTAAAATTCTTATTTTTTTTTCCCTCTGACTGGGATAATTCAAGAGGCCTGTCTTCAAGTTCAGAAATTACTCTGCCTGATCTAGTCTGTTGTTGAAGCTTTCACTTGCACTTTTTATTTCATTCATAATTCCTCAGCTCCAAGATTTCTGTTTGGTTCTTTATGACACTTATCTTTGTTGCATTTCTCATTCGGATGATGAATTGTTTTCCTGATCTCACTGAATTATTTGCTGTATTCTCTTGTATCTCCATGAGTTTCCTTAAGATTATCTTATTTTCAGGCATTTCATAAATGTCCTTTTCTTTGGGGTCTTTTACTAAAGACTTATTGTATTCCTTTGCAGGTATCACATTTCCTTGCTTTTTCACATTGCTTGTGTCCCTATGCTGATATCTGAACATCTAGTGGAATAGTGACCCTTTCCAGGTTTATGAAGTAACTTTCATTAGGAGATAATTCTTCCTGTAGATAGGTCCCAAGGTGTCATTTGAGTGTGGTGAGTTAGCTTTAGTTCTGGGTGGACTCAGTAGCATGGTCTACATGTAGTTTTTTCAGCTGCAATCTTCATCAGCAATGTCTGCAATTGCCTCAATGGCCTATGCTGTAGGTATTTGTGGTGGTCGTAGTGTGTGGTTTTGCTGGGAGTAGGGGTGTTGGGCTGGCTGTTGGGCTGAATATGTATGGGTGTGGAGGGCGAAAAGGCTCTCCAACAGGCTTTTCAGGGAGGTGGGGCCACCACTAGTCTGGCTGTTGGGCTGAGCTTAGGTGCATATGGGTGTGGCTAGCTGAGCAGCTACGTGGCTGTCTCTTCAAGAGGATGGATGAAGAGTCTACTGGTCTGATGCTGTGCCAGCTGCACATAGGTGCAGCTGTGTCAGGTGGCCCTGTAGGAGTCTGTCTAGAGGAGCAGGTCCACCACTGGCCCAGCTCTTGGGCTGGATGCCAGTGTGAAATGGGGTTGGGCAGCCTTGCAGTTATTTGGGAGGGAGGGCTGCTACTGGACCAGCTGTCAGGCTAGACATAGAATAGCAGCATTCAGCTGCTCTTTGGGTGTCTGTATGCGGGAACGAGGCTGCCACAGGACCAACAGTTGGACCAGCTATGGATGCACCGCGCTTGGTGGGACAGGTGGCTATGGTGCAGGTACGTGCAGGAGAGGTAATTGGCTGACTGTTCAGTGACTTCAGCACCGTACAGATCTGCCTGTTCCCTGGGGGGTGGGGGGATGTGGTGTGTCACTTGGGTTTGAACACTGGGGTCTCAGTCATTCCATGTGACCTATGCTTTGGGTAGCTATGGTCATAGTGCTGCAGGTACCTGTGTGAATGTGGTATAAGGACAGCTAGGCCTCCAGGATGAAAAGAGTCAATTGCTACTGGTGCGCAGGGCAGGATGCACTCTAGCAGTGGGAAAGGTTCAAGATGGGACAGAGTTGAAGCTGCTTAGGTTGCGGGTCCTCAATGTGGACACTGAGGCATTGCATCTGTGTGAGCTCCCGGCTACTCTCCAAACTGGATTGGGGGCCTGTGAAGTTTAGGGGACTCCTATATCAAAGACTGCTAGCATTTCTGGTGGCAATGGGGACTGCTGGGAATCACCAGCATACATTTCCCCATAAACAGCACCCCATGACTGCCAAGTCTCCACTGGGGGAGACTGTGGCAGAGGCAGGATGCCTCGCTCACCTGTCCATGGTGCTGTCCTGGCCTTCCATGCACCACAGGAAGTTTGCTGCTCCCCTAGTGCGGTCCAGCATACTTCCTCGTCACTCTAGTTGAAATATAGTTGTTTACTTGTTGTTTAGATCCCCTTTTGGGGGAGGGATGAGCACTAGGCAACTCTCATTGGCCATATTGCTCTGGGTTGCCTTTTCATTGTGTTGATGTTGTCTTTTGATGCACAAAATTCTTAAATTTTCATGAAGTCCAATTTGCCTATTTTTTCTTTTGTTGTCTGTGCCTTTGGTGTCATAGCCAAGAAGTCATCTTAAAGTCCAACGTCTTGAAGATTTTATCCTACAATTTCCCCTAAAATTTTTATAGTTGTAGTTCTTACATTTAGGTTTTTTATTCATTTTGAGTTAATTCTTCTATATGTTATTAGGCAAGGGTCCAACTTCATTCTTTTGCATATGCCTATGTAGTTTTTCACTTCATCATTTCTTAACAAGACTGTCTTTTCCCCATTGAGTGGTTTGGGCACACTTGTCAAAAAATCACTTGACCATTTAGGCAAGGATTTATTTCTGGGGTCTCTATTCTATTCCATTGGTCAATATATCTGCCTTTAGGCCAGTACCACACTGTTTTGACTACTGGAACTGTAGCAAGTTTGAAATCAGGAATTGTTAAATCCTTCAGTTTTGTTCTTTCTCAAGGTTGTTTTGACTACTTGAGGTCTGTTGCAATTCCATATGAACTTTAGGGTGGGATTTTCTATTTCTGCAAAAAACATCAGCGAGATTTTCATAGCGAGTGCATTAAATCTACAGATTGCTTTAGATAGTGTGATATACTTCACTAATAGGTCAGAACAAGTATTTTTAGCAGGTTGCATTTAAATATAGGCAAGCATTTCCCTATTCAAGAGTCAAAACAAAGTAGAAAAATTTTTCTTAATCAGATAATTTATTTACACAGTCTTTAAAAAGAACAAAATCTCATGTAAGTATATGTTGAACAAATCTTCTTAAAAGAATAAAATCTCCTTAGTCGGAATTCTTGATGAAAATCATCACACAGAGATTATGGAAACTGAAACTATCTCAGAAAAAGTTCAAATGTAGGAAAAGGAAGAACGGGTCTAGATAGGGCATCAGAGAGACGCCTTCACAGGCAGGCTAAGGGAGGTGGGTGCCAGGGCCAGGGCATAAATGTTCAACTGAGTGTAGCAGGACTACGATGTTCTGTGGGAGGCTTGGAGCTCTTGGAGTTGAGGTGTTATATTTTAATCTATCTTTATTTTTAAGAGTAGAAACGTCTACACTATTGCAGAGAAAAAGCCATGACTCACTTTTCACAATGTACATGGCTGATCCTAAGCAGTTCTGAGAGCCCTCACATATTTCTGCAAGTTTGAAAATGCTGCTTTCTCTGGGAAGTCGGGTAGGGAATGAGAGGCAAAGGGGATATGCCCTCCTGATCCCTGCCACCTCCTTCCATACATGATATGAGCACCAAAAGACCACACTCATCAGGTGAGATAAGAAGACTCCAGGGGACTGCCTCTTCAGGAGGCACTGATAAGCGTATTTCAACCTTTGATCTATAACCACGTATACAAATACACTATTGATAACATTACTTAGAAAAGGAGTCTGACCATGATCTAGATGCCTGTACAACTAAAGAGCCCTTTCAGAGAAGTTTGGAGGGTATGAAGCGTTATTAAATTTTAATTTCTAAAATATGTAATAGGAGGAAATGACTTCTTAGATACCTTCATAGGAGACAAGAGGTCAAACAAATACAGACTGATTTCATCACTGTGCATATGATCACGTAATCTTAATATTCATCTTAAGAACCTTCCCTTTTTAATGTCTAACCTCAAACCCTGTTGCTAAAAAAGTATGGGAATTTTTTCAGCCAATAGGACAAATACTGAAGTTTAAATGTCATTGTAATATATTACTAGACACTTGCTCATAGGGAAGTATGAAACGAAATTAACTTTATTTTTTTATTTACATATAAATACCCTTGAATCCAATTTTATTAAAGGTTAAGTAAGGGATCAACCTACTATACAGAACCTAAACTTAAGTTATATGTAAAAATGGCTTGTTTCAGCTTTGCTTCCCGCTCTGGGGCTTATATTTTTATTACTTTGGTGCTATGTGTTACATTCTCTACAGAGGCTGGAGATGGTGAGTGTGCAGATATTATGTCATATAAAATATGTACAAAGATAATTAAGAAGTATAAGTGACATAACTGCCAAGTCTACATAAAAACTGCAACAACTGTAACTTAAATTCCAGTGAATTCAAAATTCTTCATGCTAAAAATAAACCAATCCAATAGTTTTTAGGTTATATATTAACAATGCATTTTAATGCATTTTCATGAAACATTTTCACTTGTTCTCAGGTTTAACAAGAATATTTCAGAAGAAACAATGAAAAGAAAACCACAACTATCTGAAAGCAATTATTTCCATATAACCATGTATGTAAACACACAGATAAATGTACATAACCTTCTTTAGGACTGGAGAAATCTGAGAAAAGCAAAAACAACATACCAAAGCTAATATAAATAAAGGATGCCTTATTGTCTAGTATTACTCCACAGTCAAGCACAGACCAAGGACATAAACTGTTGTACTTCAAAAATTTAACAGTAGGACTCAAGAAAAATGAAAGCAAATTAACTATATGACTCAAGGGAAAAAATGTCTATCCCGCCTCTCAAGGATCTACTTAGGCAACTTACCAGTCCTAACACAAAAAAAACGCATTACTATAAATAACAGAGTGAAAGTGGAGATCTACCACAATTTTGGACGCGGGTGAGGATGATTACATCATGCATTTGTTTCCAGTATTTTTGGAAAGCCAACTGTCTTGGGTTAAAAATATGAAATACTGTCACAGTAACAAATAACAAAAAAAGAAAGTACTATGATACTCTACTCAAGAAAGAAAACAATCAACAAACACAAAGTCATTTTCAAATGTGAAGGTGTTTCCAAAGCTCAATTTATTTAAAAAAAAAAAAAAAAGAAAGAAAGAAAGAAAAGAAAAAGAAATAGAGCTTGAATATCTGGGCCCTGGCTTGACTCCAAGCATTGGCACTTCTTGCTACTGGTTTACACAGCATTTTCCATACCCAAATTCCAGCTTGCTACTATCAATTCCCAAATTCCAGACTATTCTAATATTCCTTAGCATTAATATAATAAAAATTGACATCAAAAAAGGGTACACAGAATTTATACTCAGTAGCAAGAATCATTTTAAACACAAAATAACAACCTTAGGCAGTAAATAAACTATATGTGACATGTTATACATTATTTGTATTTATCATTTTATTTGATTATCCTGATCTGGAAAGTCAAAGAGATGGTCACAAGGGCAAAAATTTTTGTTTGGTAGTAGTCTGACATCAACAAATGTGAACAAATGGTGTCCTCTAATCTAATGGAGAGCCAGGTCCCCTAGCCAATGATGACAATTTAAAACGGTAAATGGCACATCTTAGGAGAAACAAAAGTAGGCCTTCTCAGAATGGTCAGACTCATGGCTCAAATTTTATACAACTGTATTTAAAAATTGTAAAATAAAGTAACAACAAAAAAAGTGGTGGCCCGGCATGGTGGCTCACATCTGTATTCCCAGCACTTTGGGAGGCTGAGGCGGGCAGATCACCTGAGGTTAGTAGATCAAGACCAGCGTGGCCAACATGGTGAAACCCCGTCTCTACTAAAAATACAATAATTAGCCGGGCATGGTGGCGGACACATGTAATCCCAGCTACTCGAAAGGCTGGGACAGGAGAATTGCTTGATCCCTGGAGGTGGAGGTTGAAGTGAGCTGAGATCATGCCAGTGCACTCCAGCCTGGGCAACAGAGAGTGAAACTTCATCTCAAAAAAAAAAAAAAAAAATTATGTTGGCTGGGCGTAAGGCTCATGCCTGTAATCCCAACACTTTGAGAGGCTAAGGCAGGAGGATTGCTTGAAGGCAGGAGGATTGCTTGACGGCAGGAGTTGAAGACAAGCCTCGGCAACACAGTGACAACCTATCTCTACAAAAAGATAAAAAATTCGCCGAGTGTGGTGGCGCATGCCTCTAGTCCCAGCTACTCAGGAGGCTGAGGCAAGAGGATCACTTCAGCCCAGGAATTTGAGGCTTCAGTGAGCTAGGACCGCACCACTGCACTCCAGCCTGCGCAACTGAGGGAAACTCCATCTCAAAAACAAAAACAAACCAGAAAAACCCCAATGTCATTCAAAATCATTCTTACAGCAATCCAGTTTCTTTTCCAGTCCCTTTCCATCAGACAATGGTGGCTCACTTGTATCACCCAAACACACCATGGGCTGTCGCGCTTCTTCACCTACCCAATACCCTCTTCTCCCCTCTGCTTCCCAAAACGTAACTTATTTGCTGTCACCTCTTCAGAGACGCCTCCTGGATGTCTCCACTAAAAGTTGCTCCTTCTTATTTTAGTTTCTCCCAGAATCTATTGGTTTGTTTCACAGTACTTACTATATTTTGCAATTATCTTGTTCACGTTTATTCCCTTTGGTCTGCTTTTCCAACTGCACTGTAAGCCTCATGGGCACAGGGGCCGCACAGACTTGCTCAGTGTGATGCGTGGTGATGACGCCTTCTCTAAGCTCTGTCTGCATCAATGGCTGCTATGTCTGCGCTCCTATCACCTGGCCACATCCCACCGTTTCCTTACCAGCTTCTCTCATTCAGTAAGGAAAAAGAAAACAAAAATGTTTGCCTTAAATGAATATCTAACAATTCAAGATTGGGGACAATGCTTTCTGCATATATACACCAGAGGAGACTAGCCCACATGCTTTATGTATATAATCTCAGCCCTCAAAGGAACCTGCAAATTGAGGTGCTTTGCAGCCAAGGAAAATGTGGTGCAAGGATTAACTCATCTCCCAAAGGTCACAGGGTCAATACACAGTAAGGCTGGGATTCAAACCAGGGTCTGTTCCTTCCTATGTGGCACAATCACATGTCTGAAGGGACATTTGCTTTCCTTCCCGCAACTCTTTCCAATCTTTCCTTTTTCCCCGTCTCTTCCCTTTAAAGAAACATGACAGTGGCAATGGCAAATAAATCTTGATGTTCTTTGGGGTCAAGGCAACTGGCTGATTATCCCTAAACCAGTACCTAACCATAGTTATGACAGAAAACATAGAGTTTATTACATAAAATATTCTGGATAGCAATGAACATCTATATCTCAGAAATAATTCTACAAATATACATATTGAACAGAAATAAATTATCAAATAGAAATTAAATGTCCAACAGAAATGCACATAGTCACTACATCATGACAGATAGTGGCAGAATTACTTAGATAATCTCTGAATATTTTACAGCAAAAAACAACATGTATAATATTAACAATAATATTTAGGGAAGAACTCTAATTTTATAGTTAAACTCAGGGTAAACAGAAAATCCTCTTAAATTCTTGTTCAACATTTTCTCATGCGCTAGAGTTTCTCATATAAATAAGTATCCTACACAGAATACATAAATAAGTATACTACTCTTAAGGAATGCAACACCCTCTTTCACACATGTGGATGTCTTGTGTGTATGTGCATATGTGCACAGACAAACCCCCATCCAGCTATCACATGGTTCTTAGCAGTTATTTCATATGCCACTGGATTCATCTGTTAGGGCTGCCATGACAGCCTGGGCACCATGGCGAAACCCCACGTCTACAAAAAATACAGTCATTAGCTGGGCATGGTGGTGCACTCCTGTGGGCCCAACTGCTTGGGAGGCTGAGGTGGGAGGATCACCTGAGCCCTGAGAGTTTGAGGCTGCAGTGAGCTGAGACTGCACCACTGCACTCCAGCCTGGACAACTGAACAAGACCCTATCTCACATAAATAAATAAATAAACAAACAAATAAATAAATAAATAGAGTATCTGGTTCTGGTTCATCAAAGTACATTTTCATTCACAAACATTCCATTAGTACAGTTTGTGTCATGAAGATAAATAACTTGTCCGTCAGGTGCTCTTGGTCTAGTGGTTCATATGGATACTGAAGAAAGAGCTCATGAGAACACCACAGGCTCTTGACCCAGTGTAGAGAGAACAGTGAAGAGGCTCGGAATGACTTTCTGGAGGAGATGCTTAACCAGATCATAGTGAATACAGCAGAGTCTCCAATATCTCTGGAGGCGGAAAGCAAAAACCACAATGCAAACAGGGAAGCAGGGGAGATGAGTCCAGAGAGGCAGGCAGGGGCTGCACCATGAGCTGCCTTTCTGGCTGGGCTAAGGAGCTCCAGCTTTACCTGGACACACCAAGAAATAATACAAGGGTGACAGCATGAAAGCCACAAGGTCCAACTGCTTCCAATAGAACACTTGAGCCATTCTGTACAGAGCAACAGTCATTGCCAAACACAGGCTTCCTGGCATGTGGCTGGGAGGCCTAAGCCACTTCCCCAGCGATTTGTTACTCATGATGGTTGAGTGACTTATAAAATGTTCTTCACAAATTAGACTAGATCCAAGATCAACCCTTTAATGGTATCACGCTCATTCTCTTGCATTGCAATAGGCTTTTCTGAGTGGGACAGACGTGGGTGGCAAATCACTTGATAACTGCAATGGAAAATCGACGCCCTGGTATTCCTTCTCCATTTCCATACATTGCCATTAGAATCCCAGATGTACTAGCAATATGAACTTGGACAAGTTCATATTTACCCTCTCTGCATCTCAGTTGCCTCATCTAAAAATAAGGATTATAAGTGCTTACCTTACTAAGGGATTAAAACATCAATGTAAAGCTGTTAGAACAAAGCCGGCTACATAGCAAGTACAAGAGAAATTTTTATTATTAATTACTACCGTGACTATTGCTACTGCCACTGTACTATCATAGTAGTTCTCTCTTATCCGTGGTTTCACTTTCCTGGTTTTAGTCACTCATGGTCCAAAAATAGTTGAGTCCAGTATGAAGAGATATTTTGAGAGAGAGATACTACATTCACATAGCTTTTATTACAGTATATTGTTATAACTGATCTATTTGATTATTATTGTTAATCTCTTACTGTGCCTGATTTATAAATTAAACTTTATCAAAGGTATGCATGTATCAGAAAAACAGAGTACTGTTTTTCTAGGGTTCAGTACTATCTGCAGGTTCAGGCATCCACTGGGGGTCTTGGAACATATCCCACACTAATGAGGTGGGAATATTGTTTAAGAAAACAGATGAAAAGTAAGAACCTCTGATCCAGGAAAAGGATTTGATGAAGCATGGGAGCTGACACCCAGGCTTCTAGCTGGTGGATGTATGAATGGTGGTGTCATCGACCTAAGCACAGAATTCAAGAGGAGTGGAGGAGCCCAACCTCAGGTCTGTTACAATGTGAGGTGCCTCTGGAACATGAAAGTGAAAATATCCACCAAGCAATAAGATTTATCATCTGGGGTATCAGGTGAGAGGTCTAGCTAGGTTGGGGATATGGAGTTAGAACTCATGAGTGAAGAAATCCAAAATTAAAGTTAAGGATATTATGGGTCTACATAGCATTTACAGAAGGGCCAAATAGACAATATTCCAGACAATAGAGGTTAGAGAAAAGCAAGCTATCTGTCTTAAGAGCACACTTTTTATATAACTCAAACTACATATGTGTATATCTGTATATATGTGTATGTGTGTGTCTATATACATATATACACATATATACATGTATACAGCCACATATATGTATATATACACACATATATACATATATGTATATATACACACATATACATATATGTATATATACACACATATACATATATGTATATATACACACATATACATATATGTATATATACACACATATACATATATGTATATATACACACATATACATATATGCATATAGACACAAACATACACACATATATGTATATGTATATAGACATACATACACACATATATATCATGTGATATATATATATACACACATATATCATACGATTTGCTGTATTAGTTGGCACATAATTTGAGCTGGGAGAGCAAAGTCCATCGCAATGTGACTTCATTATTCTTATGAGTGTTTTCAACTGTGGGTACCATTTTGGTGAACTGGAAAGCAAAGATACAGTCAGACATAAAGGTTACATTTCTCTTTAATTATATAAGATCCAACGTTTTTTCAACCTTCAGATAAAAAATTTTCTCAAAAATGTTGCTGTCACTTTAAATCTTAAACCTGTGTCTATTTTTAAAGAGATACTGTTCCTTCTGTAAAGTTATGGCTCTGATCTGAAGGGGCTGCCATGTTGGCACCAAATTATACACATTATACACACTAGAACAAAAAGCACCTCCCTACAGTTCAGTCAAGCATTTGAGCAAGAGCTCCAATGGCAGATTCCAGATGCTTTTTGATGATGAATGAGATTAAGCTCATACTCAAAGGCAGTATAGAATAATTCTCCATTCGCTGATATTAAAAACCTATAAAGGAACATAAAGCTAGTCGCATACTATAGTTTACCCCCTCTGGTTAAAGCATTCTTCTGAGTTAATCAGCCTCCAAGAAGAATGGGAAGCTTCAGATGGCTTGGCAGGTGTCAGGGCTAACACAGGACAGTGGACAGCCAGGCCTGCAGGAAGATGGACTAGAGGGTGGAGGGCAGGACGCTGGGACAAATGAGGGGGAAGAAGGTGACTGAGATGGCCCCAAAAGGAAACTCAGTCCACCCGTGCAGAGATATACCAACATGGTAAATATTCACCATGTTAGTAATCCTCACATTATCAGTCCTGGGTTGTTAAATGCACTTATTCCTAAGCTAATTTATGAGACATGCCTTTTTATTTATTTTTTTGAGATGGGGTTTCACTGTTGTTGCCCAGGCTGGAGTGCAGTGGTATGATCTCGGCTCACTGCAACCTCCATCTCCCGGGTTCAAGTGATTCTCCTGCCTCAGCCTCCCCAATAGCTGGGATTACAGGCACCTGCCACCATGTCCAGCTAATTTTTTTGTATTTTTAGTAGAGACGGGGCTTCACCATGTTGGCCAGGCTGGTCTCGAACTCCTGACCTCAGGTAATTTGCCTGCCTTCGCCTCCCAAAGTGCTGGGATTACAGGCATGAGCCACCGGGCCCAGCTGAGACATGCAGTTAAACAGGAAGGAACAAAAACATTTCTGTATATTCTCCTTCCCTAAAATCTACTGTGAAAGAGAAAAGAATAAAATATAATAAAATGGTTTCATAAATAAATGGTTATTACTCCAACACCACAAACTATAATGAACATTAGCTGAATACAGGGAAACTGGACCAAAATGAGGGAGGGCATTAGCAATGAACACATGGCTCCTTGGAACGCAAGCATGACACAGATTTTTCTCCGTCCTAAAAGACCACTGAAATGAGCCATTGGCTAAAGGGCTAAGATCTGAGTGAGAACATACTAAAAGAAAAGGGGCAGCAGTGGGTATCCCCAGAGAAACCCTGCTAACAGCACGTGGCAGAAGAGGAGCAGAAGGGGGAATCACGAACAGTGACTTTACTGTCCGAGAAGGAGGTGACAGGAACGAGGGAGGGGACATAGTGCTCACTCATCAACCCACTGACAGCCTCTATTTCACTGCCAGTCCCAAAGTGGGGAATGACTCAAAAGTGACAAGGCTGTTGCTTAAGCCAGTAAGTAGCTCAAACGAGAACTAGGGCTGACACACAGATAATTCACATATCATGGGAGCAAGGAAAATGAATGAAATACTGCTCTATGCAACAATCGGGATCAATCTCAAGAAGCAATGTTGAGTGAAAGAAGCCAGAAAGCATACTGAATGGTTCCGTTCATGTAGAATCCCAAAACAGCAAAAGTCAATGATATTAGAAGCTGAAGAAGTAGCTACCTTTGAGCAGAGAGGAAGGCCTGCCTAATGACTGAAAGGAGATCAGAGGAAACTCTGAAACTCCAGTGGTGTTCTATTTCTTCACCTGAATAGTTGTCGTGAGTTTTGGCATGTTGATCATTCGCTGAACTATAAGCTTATGTTATATGCGCTTTTGTGTACATGTACGATGCTTTAATAAATATAGTAGAGATGGGAGAAGAGAGAGAGAATATGAATAAATAAAAATAAATAATCCTATGTACATCCTAGCAGAGAAAGCAAGTCATCATTAAGTGGGCAACTCAAGTTAGCCCCCAGTATCACATTAAGGAAATTCAATGCCCAAAGACAGTATCTACAAGATTCCAGTAAAAGAAAAGGTGACTCGAGATTTTTATACCTAGACGAATTATCTATTAAATGAGAAAGGAACAGATACTCTGAAGTGTTAGGTTCTGAATGCTTCTGTTCCCTCTACAATTCAAGTTCAAACTTAATTATCAACGAAAGCATCTTGAGCGGGGGGCCTTCAGGAGGTGATTAAGTCATGATGTTTACAAGCACACCTAAACCCCTGTGAAAGGTATTCGGTGCGCTTATAACAGGGCTTAAGAAGGGAAGTTCATTCCTCTTGCCCTTCTGCCTTCTGTCATGGGAGGACACAGCATTTCTCTTCTCCAGAGGATGCAGTGTCACCAGATGGAATGCAGCCCTCGCCAGAAAACTGAATCTGTCCGCTCCTTGATCTCAGGCTTCCCAGCCCCCAGAATGGTAAGAAATAAAGTTCTATTATTTATAAATTACCCAGTCTCAAGTATTTTGTGAAACCAGCACAAAATGGACTAAGGCATCTAGTATGCAGGAACAAAGGATATGTAACATAAACCATATTTGAAATAAACAAAAATAAAATTCTTGGCAATTAAATCTAGCCAAATAAGCAACAAATCAAAAAGCTATCAAAACTATTTTGAAAATTACAGTTTAAAATACAGTTATATATGTATAAAACATACATAGAATGTAGATACATATGCACGTATATATGTGTATATACATATAAAACTTCTCAATATTGTCAATAATTGTTATTTTTACTTTACAGTAATATTTTAGGAAGTAATAGCTTAATATTCTTGGACTCACATAGTAAAAGTTCAGAAATTACTTCATCTGATTTTCCTTTCTTAGATTCAAATTTACATTTAAAAATATTATGCTTCTTCATTTGTCAATATAGTTACCTGCTTCTTGACCTACCTTTCTGTCTATCTTAGGAACGTATCTTTTTTTTTTTTTTTTTTTGAGACAGAGTCTTGCTCTGTCACCAGGTTAGAGTGCAGTGGCGCAATCTCGGCTCACTACAACCTCAGCCTCCCAGGTTCAAGTGATTCTCCTACCTCAGCCTCCTGACTAGCTGGATTACAGGTGCCCACCACCACGCCCAGCTAATTTTTGTGTTTTTAGTAGAGACGGGGTTTTACCAAGTTGGCCAGGATGGTCCCGATATCTTGACCTCGTGATCCACCCATCTCGGCCTCCCAAAGTGCTGGGATTACAGGCGTGAGCCACTGCGCCCGGCCAAGAACGTATCTTGAATGATGGTCACCAAAACATACTTCTGATTATTTCAAGGTGGTGGGAATTTGACTGAAATGTTTTTAGCTTTCTGAATGTTTCAGTTGGTTGAAAACAATGAATATAAATTACTTTTATGAGAGCAATACCATCTTTTTTCTCATATTGAATTAGTTGCCAAAAAAATGGCCCGGCTGCCTTCTGCCCACCACCCTCCTACTCTACCTCCCCTCCCAAAATTTGTAGTATTTAATGTACCTAAAAAAATGGACCTCTTTATTTACTATCTGTAGGCATTGGATGAAGCGAGCCAGTAGGTTCAAGGAACAAAACAAAATCCACCATGCAGAAGGGCGTTGCATATGGTTTGACTGTTTTATAAACAAGATGACAGATTCTGATGACTAAACTTGTTTTCTCATTATCAAAAGCAACACTCTGAACTCCAGAACATTTGCTTTAACAACTTACCTGAAGTTAATGAGGGAAGAGTTTCAAGGAACTAATTAATGTGCATTCCTCACAACACAGGCTGCCAGTTGGTGGTTTTTGCCAAGATGCCTACCACAAGGGAACAGGATGTGGCCTCCCATCTTACCTATAGTGACAGGAGTCATTGACTTCAGAGTGGACTCACCTGGGCGGAAAGAGTGACGATGTTCCGCCTGGCTGCATCTTTTGTTATAATTTCACAGAGGAGATAACTTGATTGGAGGCAAATGGACACAAATCCTCCCAAAGCACCCAATTCAACTTTTATATCAAACTTAAAAAACATGCTACCTTTTCTGAGATAAATACGTGTTTCTGGCAAATTCACGACCACAGTGAAGGCCAATTAAAGTTCAAACAGAAGCTGGCAGAAATTTCATTTCCCTCAGAAACAGCAGAAGGCTGTTCAATCATGGATTGCCGCTACCAATATGCAAGTATTACTGATCACGCGAGGTAACAACGGCTGGAATTTCAAAATCTGTGTCTCTAAAAATATACAAAATGTCCAACTCGGGCCACTGTTTTTGGCGCAAGTTCTGGGAAACTCTTAGGGAGAACATTTCGTATTTTTCACTCCGGATCCATAGTGTGAAGCAGGCCCTGAAATCTCCAGTGATGACATGAGTAAACAGTAACAGTAAAGTGATAAAATAAGAAAATTTTTAAAACAGCATTCAAGATACCACTAGCCAAACGGCATCGTGCTAATGACTTCTACTTTTAGATGACAAGTCGTGCTATTTAGACAACCAAATTTCATTGCAGACAGCCTTCAGGAACAGGTACCAAGGCAACCATACCGCTGCCAGGCTGTGGGTAGCCGTGGGGGGCTAGAGGAGGGAGAACACACGGATGAAGATCCGAAACACCACCACAAACTTAAAAAAATTATCTACAGAAAAACTAAAAACTGGACTTCATTCAACACCCATCTGGCATCTCGGAGAGAGAAAGAAATCACTTAGGGCTCCCTGTCTTCAACAAATTGTATCTTTCAAAACTGCCAGTAAGGCAGATTCCAACCCTCTGAATGAGACTATTTGCAAGAGATTTGGGTGGTTGACATTTTAGTGTTATTTCTGGACATGACATCTTTGGTTGATTACTTGGGTATAAAATAATGAGCGAGTGGCCCCTGTCATTTACTCCTGTTACAACAGCGAAAAGCATGCCATTGCTGCTGTCAAAATACGTCATAAAAGACTCATATTTCAAAATAGTTTGGTGTCAAAAGCTATTAATCATAATATCAATATATAGAATGAGGGAGGAGAGCAAAATAAACTTCATTTCTCCCCAATATGAAGAATAAAAATCAGTCACATATACACCTACACCCTTCATCATACCCAGACCCAAATCCCAGTGGAATCAGGATCAGGAAGTGAGGCAGAACCCTGCAGACCAGCCAGCTCATCCAGAAGATGACACATAGGCCCATCATGAAGCAGGGGAAAGAAACCACTTTCACAAACGCAACGGAACTATGAGGTTCATAGGTGTGTTACTATGTGTGGGAGGCGGGGTGATGGCTCCCCAAATATATTTCTGTCCCAATCCCTGGAACCTGCGCATATCAGCTCATGAGGCAAAAGGGACTTTGTCGAAGTGGATAAGTGAAGGATCTTGAGTTGGGGAGGTTATCTGGGTGGGCCTGATATAATTGCAGTGGTGCTTATAAGAGGGATGGGAGAAGAATCAGAGTGAGAGGAGAATGCAATGTGATGACGGTAGCAGAGAATGATGTGGTAGGTTCTGAGGATGAAGGAAGGGGCTGTAAGCCAAGGAATGCAGGCACTCACTAGAAGCTGAGAAAGGCAAGGAGCCATTCTCCTCTAGAGCCTCCTGAAGGAAGTGACTTGGGTGACATGTGGAGTCTAATTCAGTGAAAAAGATCTCAGACTTCCGCCCTCCAGAAGCATAAGAGAATAAATCGGTGCTGTTTTCAGCCACTGTTTGTGCTCATTGTTTATAGCAGCAATAGGAAACTAAGGCACTATGCAAACATATGCCGCGTATTTATCTCCATTAGCACTTTCAGCTACTCTGCAACTTATTTTTCTAGGCCTCAAAATACTATTCATAAAGCATCTATGGAAGCTTTTGCCTCCTGTTACACAAAGTGAGAGTAGAATAATCTACTTTTGTCTTGGCACAGAAAATTTGCAATGAAATGCAACACATTTTAATTCTTACACAAGGCTAGGAAACATTATTAGTGATATTGCAAAAACAAAAATACACTTCCAATTCAGACCCACAAAATGAGCACTCTTCGATTATAATTCTATTCACCTCCCTGTGAGTACCATGCTATTGGTTTTCTTCTGGGTGTGGCAGGAAGTTTCAGTGAAAGAGAAAGAAAAATTAACAGATAAGCCCAAGTACCTGGCCACTCAGGCTGAAAAGGGAGTGGTAGGGGAACTGAAGGCTAGATAGTCAAGGAAGGTTAACTGTATGCTAGATGGCCAAGGAAGGCCAAGGAAGGTGATCACTGATCTGCCCGCCCCCGTCTTCGCTACTCCTTGTAACCACAAAGGCATGAAAAGATATGGAGACCTCTGAAGCAGTCAAAACATAAAGATACTATCACTCTCAGAAGGCTCTGCACTAGGATTCAGATGGGTTAGGGGTTTATTTTTCTTTTTTATGGCATTGATATCACTGTTTATGTCAAAGATTGTTTGCAAAAACAGCTGTGATCATCCCGCCCTCTCCTCTGTACCTTCCATGCCCCTGGTGTTTCCTTGTACACTGGCTCTGGGCCTAATCAAGTGAATTGCTTTGGTCAATAGAGAGGGCATTAGCAAATGTGAATGTAACAGACTTGGAAAGTGCTTGTGTACCTGGGCTTATGTCTTAGTCCATTTTTGTGTTGCTATAATGGAATACTTGAGGCTGGGTAATTTACAAAGAAAAGTGGTTTATTTGGCTCCTGGTTCCACAGGCTGCACAAGAAGCATGGCGCCAGCATCTGCTTCTTGTGAGGGCTTCAGGAAGCTTCCGCTCAAGGCAGAAGGGGAAGGGGAGCTGTTGTGTATAGATGACAGCGAGAGGATGGAGGGCAAGACGGAAGGGAGGTGCTAGGCTCTTTTTAAGAATCAGCTCTCCTGGGGACTCATAAAGCAAGACCTCACTGGTTACCATGAGGACACACCAAGCCATTCAAGAGGGATCCGCCCCAATGTCCCAAAGACCTCCCACCAGGCCCAACCTCCAGCACTGGGGATCAAATTTCAACATCAGATTTGGAGGGGACAAACATCCAAACTGTATCAACTTGCACCTCATGCACGTGAGCTGTACCTTGTACTATCCCTGGAAGAGACCACCATGTGAACAAACCCAAGCTAGCACATCAGAAGGCGTGAGAAGCCACCCGGAAGAGAAGTGCAGTGTCTTGGACAACGGTCTGCCAACCACCACAGATGAGTGAGACCATCCTAGGGTACCCTATTAGCCAACCCCCCAGCTGACC
This sequence comes from Homo sapiens, assembly GCF_000001405.40. NCBI lineage: Eukaryota > Metazoa > Chordata > Mammalia > Primates > Hominidae > Homo > Homo sapiens. The sequence continues at coordinate 16,730,533 of NC_000010.11, forward strand.
CCACATTCAGGAGAGAGCCCAGTAAATATCAGCTTAGACAGTTCTGACAAAATTGTAAGATGGTTTTGTTTTAATCCACTAGATTTGGGGGGTTTTTTGGTGCAGCAAAAGGTTACTTGATATAATCTATAAAGCTAACACCAACACACTGGAGAAATTATAAAAAATAAAAAGTAGAAAAATAAAATCACTGAGAATCCCAACATACAGAGACATTAACCAATAATTTTTTCATTTATTTATGCACCTATGTGAATATTCTCTGTAACTGGAATCACACTGTAAAGCAATGTTGTTGTTTTTTTCAGCGAGACTGAGTCTCACTCTGTCGCCCAGACTGCAGTGCAATGGCGTGATCTTGGCTCATTACAACCTCCGTCTCCTGGGTTCAAGCGATTCTTGTGCCTCAGTCTCTGAAGTAGCTGGGATTATAGATGCCCGCCACCACGCCCAGCTTATTTTTGTATTTTTAGTAGAGATGGGGTTTCACCATGTTGGCCAGGCTGGTCTAGAACTCCTGATGCACCTGCCTTAGACTCCCAAAGTGCTGGGATTACAGACGTGAGCCATGGCACCCGGCCTTGTAAATGCAATCTTATAATGTGCTATTATAAGTATTCTCGTGTCATTTTATGTTCCATCATCTACTAGTTAATTTAACCATTTTTATATCAAGGTGGCTCAAAGCTTCTACTGTTAAAAGTACTGTGGCAAATGAAACCCCGTCTCTACTAAAAAATACAAAAAATTAGCCGGGCGCGGGGGTGGGCGCCTGTAGTCCCAGCTACTTGGGAGACTGAGGCAGGAGAATGGCGTGAACCCAGGAGGCGGAGCTTGCAGTGAGCCGAGATAGCACCACTGCACTCGAGCCTGGGCGAAAGAGCGACACTCCGTCTCAAAAAAAAAAAAAAAAATACTGTGGCAAGAAACATATTTATACTAACCTTTTCTGAGTTCCTGATTATTTCTTGATGATAGAATTCCAAGGGAGCTTACTGCAACAAAAGGTTGGAAGCTTTTACGGTGCCTGGCATATACTCCAAAAATGGGTCTAGAATTAACACGCTAATTTACAATCCAACAGCAATGCATGAAAATGTCTATTGCACCAAACCTTTACTATCACTTTGCATTATCATTTTTAAAATCTTCGTTAATCGATATTCTAAAAAATAGTAACTTGTTTTAATCTGCATTTCATTGACTGCTACTAAGGCTGACCAGTTTTTTATAGGCTTGGTCATTGATCTTCTCTTGTGAAATATCTGTTCTTGCTCATTTTTTTTTTTCTACTGAGGTATAAAAAGTAGCTTTCTGCCATTTATCTCCAACGCTTTTGAGAGTGGTTAAGATAAGCCGATATTGTTGGGACAGGGCAGAGATATTTAATCCCAGGTCCCATGGTCAAGTATATACAATTTTTCCTAGACAGAATCTATGGCTTTCATTGACTTCCTTAAGGGGCCAATGGACTTATAAACTCTGAGAACCAACTGGGCTAAATGAGGAAGTACAGTATCAGTAGCTTCCACCAAACTGATGCCTCAGTATTACCCAACTAGTCACAGAAGACCTAACTGAATGAAAAGCAGTTCTGATGAGTGCTCATGGGAAGTACACAAAGGGACAGAGACCATAGCCTAACAACAGTTTAAATTTATATTCAAGTCATGAAATGTAATATATACCACTGCTTTGCATTTTCTCTTACCATTGTTGATTCTGCTATGTGCCAGCTAAAATCTCACCTCTACTTCCTGTGGACTGAGTATTTATGACCCCTCCAAATCCATATGTTAAAGCCCTAAGTGCTAATGTGATGGTATTTGGAAGTAGGGTCCTTGGAAGAGAATTAGGTCATGAGAGTGGAGCCCTTATAAATAGGATTAGTGCTCTTATAAGAACAGACACAAGAAAAATGATCTCTCTGCCATGTGATGATACAGAAAGGATGTGTCACCTGGGACCAGAAAGAGAGCTCTTGCCAGGAAATGAATTAGCCAGCACTTTGATCTCAGATTTCCCAGCCCAAAGAACCATGAGAAATAAATTTCTGCTGTCTAAGTCACCCAGTCTATGGTATTTTTGTTATAGCAGCCCAAGCTGACTAAGATACTGCAGAAGCTTTTTTAGACTATCTCAAGCCATGATGATTTCTGCCCAGGCTACATTTCTACTGCAGTGACACCTGGTGTTCCAATTTAACAGGTTAACTATTCTTCAAGTTTCACTAGGTTAGTAGCTCTGTTAGAAACAGAACTGGGTCATACCTTTTGTGCCTTTCAGAAAGGCTTACGAAGATATTAGATAAGAATTTAATAAACATTTCATAGGTTCTTAACCACTTCTGCAGAAGTGGTTAAAAGCTCTTGGTTAACTTCCAAGGTTGGAAGCATGGATGGAGTTTGATAAAGTCTACCTGCATGGCTTTGACAGGTTACTCTAAGCTTAAGGTTCCTCATCTGTAAAATGGGAAAAAAGTAACTCCAGCTCACAGAAATATCTTATTTAAGATGACCTATCTTAGGGAAGATAAGCACTCATAAATGGACTATTAGTATCATCAGCCATCATCATTACTAGGCAAATATTTTCACCTATATTCATTTCTAAAAACTGGTCAATTTAAGGCACTGAAATGCAAAGTTATATAAATCTTATTAAAATAGAAAACCCGGCTGGGCATGGTGGCTCATGCCTGTAATCCCAGCACTTTGGGAGGCCGAGATGGACGGATCACCTGAGGTCAGGAGTTCAATACCAGTCTGGCCAACATGGTGAAACCCCATCTCTACGACAATAAAAAAAAAAAAAAAAAAAAAAAAATGAGCCAAGCGTGGTGGCAGGTGCCTGTAATCCCAGCTACTCAAGAGGCTGAGGCAGGAGTGTTGCCTGAACCCAGGAGGCAGAGGGTGCAGTGAAGTGACATCACACCACTGCACTCCAGCTTGGGTGACAGAGTGAGACTCTGTCGCAAAACAAACAAACAAACAAAAACAGAAAACCCAATGTTATTCAAAGTGGTGTTTGCTATAGTTCAAGTAGTGATCAGCGAAAACTCTCATAGTCTGAAGCAACAGAAAGCTGTAATAAATTAGGGTTCAAAGAACTGTTATAAAGGCTATAACACGGACCCAAAAATTTTTGTGAAAGAAGTAGGTGAACAGCTAAAGTAAAAAACGTATATATACTGAACATGCAGAAATTCTAGAGTATCTATTAAAAGCTTGAATGAGCTTGAATGAGAAGAACAAGCTGAATCTTTTGGTCACTGTCCTAGGAACACAGCAAGTTGAGAAATAACAGTCTCCAAGATGTTATAAAGTTGGGCAACTAACTTTTCTGCATTCTCTTATAGCAAATTACAGCTGGCAAAGTCTTTTAGATAGCAATTGCTTTCAATTCAGTCAACCAAAATGACCAAACAATGAACCTTTAACACTAACCATTGATCTTGCTAATTGCATCTGCCACTATATCAGCTTCTTTTGTTCCCAGTCAGCCCTCTTCCAACACGACTCCAATTGCTAAACTGTCGGAACACACAAAGTGACAGATTTAGTGTTTCATTGGCAATTTATATAACTGACTGCAACACTGTTGTAGTGAATCATGATTTGTCTCACATTGCAGCACATCACCTTTTAAATGCAAGGGGGAAGAAAGCCAACACCTCTTTAAAGTTTAATATGTGACCATCTACCACTACATCCTATGATCTGAAAGAGAGCAGATCAAATGAGTGATGTATTGCTTTTCCCTTTCAATACCTATAACTTCCTGCACTAGGCATTCATGAATCCTGTGCTCACACACTCTTCTTCATCTGCATGTGATTCAGGGGGAAATCTGGTAGTTATACATGAATGACATCTATACCAGTCAGTGGATGGAACCTAGAATAAAGGGTTACAATGATGAATATTTGGGGCGGGAATTCTGCACTAAAGGGCACATGCGTGGATATGGGGGCATCTTAAAACTCTCCAAATTAGATGTAAAATGTCATATGTGAAAATATATATTGGGGGGGTTATCTCCATAGGTTTCACTTGTTTCTCAAAGATTTCTGAAAAGATGAAAAATAATGGCTTAAGGTAACTTGACTTATTGTTGCAATAATGAAAAAGAATGATGACATGAATAAGCAGGTGAACAATGCAACAGTATCACAGGATATCAAGTTTTACACCAAGGCTCAGCAGCAAAAAGTAAGAAACATGAGAAATGGTTGGTGTTATGGGCTGAATTCCATCCTAACCCTCAATATCTCAGAATGTGACTATTTGGAAATGGTGACTTCACAGAGATGATTTAGTTAAAATGAGGTCATATGAGTGGATCTTAATCCAATATGACTGTTGTCCTTACAAGAAGGGCAAAGCTGAACACAGACAGGTACTGAGGGAAGGCACAGTGAAGACACAGGGAGAAAAGGGCCACCCACAAGCCAAGGAGTGAGGTCTAGAAAAAATCATTCCCTTAAACCCTCAGAAGAAACCAATTCTGTTATTTTGACATTAGACTTCTAATCTCCACGAACACAAGAAAATTTATTTCTGTTGCTTAAGTCACCCAGTCTTTGGCACTTTGTTATGGCAGACCCAGCAAACTAATACAGTTGGTCTCGGCTATAATAGTGCATTAACAGATAAGTTAAAAAGCAATAAAGACCAAGAAATTATTCTAGGGGTTAAAAACTTGTTAATACCAAGAATAAAGATGAAAATGGTCTTAAAGAACATGTGTACATAACATGAAGTCTGATATGCATCCTAATACCGCTATGTCTGCTATGGAATCCAGCCAGTGAATGCAGGGTTGAGGGAATGACCTGAGCAAAAATAACCTCTGGCGGTTGTGTAAATGGGTAAGAAAAGAGCAGAAAAATAATTATACCTTTCCACATTGGCAGTTATCAAAAATTAATCCAGACTTTTGCTTCTGGCATTCTGAAGTAACTGGACAAAATGTATAATAGAAATGCTTCTAGATATTGGGCAATGTATTAGTCCATTCTCACACTGCTAATAAAGACATACCCAAGACTACATAATTTATAAAGGGAAGAGGTTTAATTGAGTCACAGTTCAGCATGGCTGGGGAGGCCTCAGGAAACTTACAATCATGGCAGAGGGGAAGCAAACATGTCCTTCTTCACGTAGCGGCAGCAAGGAGAGGTGCCAAGCAAAAGGGGAAAAACCCCTTTATAAAACCATCAGAGCTTGTAAGAACTCACTATCACAAGAACAGAAGCATGGACTAACAGCACCTATGATTCATTTGTCTCCCACTGGGTCCCTCCCATATGTGGAGATTATGGAAACTACAATTCAAGATGAGATTTGGGTGGGGGCACAGCCAAACCGTATCAGGAAACAAGCAGCACAGGACTATGATGCATGAGGGAAGGAAAATGAGTAAGGAAAACTCCACATTCACTCTGGTTTTCTCTGAGAAGCATTTCCAGACAGCTGTGCAAGAGTGGATCAAACAATACAGTGGCAATGCTGAATTGAAAGGACAGAAATCAGAGTTTGAGGCTACTCAAGGAGCTGGAATTTGTGGGGCAAGGAGGGCATAGCAGGAAAGGAGCTATGAAGAAAAAGAGGCCCAGAAAGCTGCACAGGAATTCCCATGAATCTTTGCCAAATATTAACTACAATGTTCAGGACAAGACTCCTAAAGGCTGGGAAAGAAAAAACAAAAACTACCAGGGAAAGACCAACTACAAGGAAGATATAACTACCAGGGAAAGACCAATTACAAGGAAGATATAAGCTAAACAATCACTGGAGTTTTCACAGAACTAGAAAACACTCACACTCTGATCAGCCAGAGAGTAACGATGTTACTAAGCACCCTGGTCAAGAGGCAGTAATCCCAGAAGTCTTAAGATTAGGGTTAATCTAGCCCAGGAGTAAAGACTAGTAAGGACCAAGTCTAACAGGCATTAAAAACCAGCCCTGAAAGAATCAAGCTAACCAAAAATTAACGACCTGCTAGAATGAAACCCAACAGACCATAAAAAAAGACAAAAAGAATTCATACAACCAAAAATGTACTATTCTTAATGTCTACGATACAGTAAAAACCAAAAACCAAAAAACAAAAAAACCCACAGAAAACTAGACATTCAGAGTAAGAGGAAAAAAGTGGCTTACAAACAAAAGAAAAATCCATCAATGCAAACAGAATCAGAAATTACATTACCAGATAAAAATGTTAAAACAGCAATTTAAAATATGTGCAAAGATTTAAAGAAAAACATGAACATAATAAGGAAATAAATAGTATCTAAATTGAGAAATGAAATTATAAAAAGAGCTATACCTTGCATACACTTGGAAGTGAAAAATGCAACATCTGAAACAATAAATCTTACTGAATATGCTTATCAGGAGATTAGACACTACAGAACAAAAAAAATCACTGAACTTAATGACAGTGCACAAGAAACTATCCAAACTGAAGCCAAAAGGGGGATGGTGGGGGAGGGGAGGGGGGAAGATGATGAAAAGAAACAAAACAAGATAAAAAGTTTTGTATAAGTGACCTGTGGAAGATATCAAGTGATCTAACACAAGAGTAATGTAAGTTCTAGGAGAGGAGAGAGAGATGGGAAATCAATCAATCAATAAAAAAAAAGGCTGAAAATTACTAACCTACCAACCAATCAATTAATTTTAAAAAATGGCTGAAAATTTATCAAACTTTATGAACACTATAAACCCATATATGAGACAAGCTCCATAAAACTGTCAAAAAGAAATAAAGAACATGTTACATGAGAAACTGCTAAAACCCAATGATAAACAGAAAATTTTAAGAGGCCACAGAAAAATAGACACAGAGAACAATGTAAGAAAGACACTAAAACAATGCAAACCAGAGACAAGAAAACACCCTTGAAGCAAGGTAGAAGTAAAAAAAATAAAAAACCTGTCAACCTAAAATTTCATATCCTGAAAAAAAATTCCTCCAAAAACTGAAAACAAAATAAAAATATTTCAGATAAACAAAAGCTAATTAATGACCAAAAAGAACTGTACTACAATAAATACAAAAGAAAAAATTCTTCAGGATAAAGGCAAATGATACCAGATGGAAGCGCCTATCTACATCAAGGAAAGAAGAGCATCAGAAATGGTAAATAGAGAAGCGGCAGTCAATGTGAAAAACTTTTTCCTCCTCTCTAAAGTTATTTAAGAAAACTAACTTAAGGAAAAAAAAAAACAATATTACTGGGAGTTATAACATATCAACTAATGTAACCTAACATTTATGGAACACTGATGGGGCACATAAAACTTTTAAGTGTGCATGTAAAATTCACCAACTAGAGAATACGCAGGCCCATAAAACAAATCAACAAATTGTGAAGGACTAGAATTATATAGACTATGAATTTTGATCAGGACATAATTTAAATTAGAAATCAGTAACAAAATGTTTCGGATATCTCCGAATACTTGAAAACAAACAAATTCTCAATTTCTAAATAACAGGCCCCAGGTCTTACAAAAGAAAATATTTGAAACTGAATGATAATGAAATTACAGAATGTGTGAGATGCTGCTAAAACAACGGAGAAAAACTTCTAACTTGAAATGCTTACACTAAAAAAGAAGAGGCCGGGCACGGTGGCTCACGCCTGTAATCCCAGCACTTTGGGAGGCCAAAACAGGCGGATCATGATGTCAGCAGATCGAGACCATCCTGGCTAACAGAGTGAAACTCCGTCTCTACTAAAAAAAAAATACAAAAAATTAGCTGGGCCCGGTGGCAGCCACCTGTAGTCCCAGCTACTCAGGAGGCTGAGGCAGGAGAATGACGTGAACCCAGGAGGCGGAGCATGCAGTGAGCCGAGATAGCGCCACTGGACTCTGGCCTGTGTGAAAGAGCAAGACTCTGTCTCAAAAAAAAAGAAGAAAAACTGAAAATCAATCACGTAAGCTTTCACCTAAACAAGCTAGAAAAATCACAGCCAGCTGTACTCAGAAGAAGAAAAGCAAATCATTGAAATACAAAACAAAGAATAAAATAACTCAGTGAAACTACAATCAGCTATTTGGACCAATCAATCAAAGGGGGGAAAAATGGAAAACATAAATTAACAATAAAAATGGGGACAATACAGACTAACTCAGAAGAAATGTACTTTTTAAAAAAAAATTATTTTAAGTTCCAGGATACCTATGCAGAACTTGCAGGTTTGTTACGTACATATACACGTACCATGGTGGTTTGCTGCACCTATCAACCCATCAACTAGGTTTTCAGCCGCACATGCATTAGGTATTTGTCCTAATGCTCTCCCTCTCCTTGCCCCCCACCCCCCCAGCGGACCCCAGGGTGTGATGTTCCCCTCCCTGTTGTCCCTGTGTTCTCATCATTCAACTCCCACTTATGAACGAGAACATGTGGTGTTTGGTTTTCTGTTCCTATGTTAGGCTGCTGAGAATGATGGCTTCCAGCTTCATCCATGTCTCTGCAAAGGACATGAACTCATTCTTTTTTATGGCTGCATAGTATTCCATGGTGTATATGGACCACATTTTCTTTATCCAGTCTATCATTGATGGGCATTTGGGTTGGTTCTAAGTCTTTGCTATTGTAAATAGTGCTGCAATAAACATACATGCACATGTATCTTCATAGTAGAATGAATTATAATCCTTTGGGTATATACCCAGTAATGGGATTGCTGGATCAAATGGTATTTCTGGTTCTAGATCCTTGAGGAATTGCCACACTGTCTTCCAGAATGGTTGAACTAATTTATACTCCCACCAAGAGTGTAAAAGTGTTCCTATTTCTCTACATCCTCTCCAGCATCTGTTGCTTCCTGACTTTTTAATAATCACCATTCTAACTGGTGTGAGATGGTATCTCATTGTGGTTTTGATTTGCAAGAAATGTACATTTTCTTCCTTTTTTTTTTTTTTTTTTTTTTGAGACAGAGTCTCGCTCTGTCGCCCAGGCTGGAGTGCAGTGGCGCAATCTCGGCTCACTGCAAGCTCCGGCTCCCAGGTTCACGCCATTCTCCTGCCTCAGCCTCCTGAGTAGCTGGGACTACACATTTTCTTTCTTTCTTTCTTTTGAGATGGAGTTTCACTCTTGTTGCCCAGGCCGGAGTGCAATGGTGTGATCTCAGCTCACTCCACTTCCTGGGTTCAAGCAATTCTCCTGCCTCAGCCTCCCGAGTAGCTGGGATCACAGGTGTGCACCACCACACTCGGCTAATTTTGTATTTTTTGTTGAGATGGGGTTTCTCCATGTTGGTCAGGCTAGTCTTGAACTCCCGAACTGAGGTGATCCACCCGCCTCAGCCTCTCAAAGTGCTGGGATTACAGGCGTGAGCCACCGTGCCCGGCCAAAATGTACATTTTTAAGACATGAGAATTACCAAAAGACTCTAGAGGAAACAGAAAATCTGAAGAGCCTTATATCAAAAAACTCAATTCATAATTCAAAACTTTCCCACAAAGAAAATTCAAGACCCAGATGGCGTCAATAATGAATTTTTTCAAACATTCAAAAAAGAAAAACTATCAAATTTTACTCATTTTATGAGACTCGATAGTCCTGAAACAAAAACTATACAAAGATACTATAATACCAGAAGAAAACTACAAACTAATATCCCTCATGAACGTGGAAAAATTTTAAGTAAAATACTAACAAATGAAATCCAGAAATATATAAAAAGGAAGATACAAAAAATAAAAGCCACATAGACATAGAAAAGGCATTTGACACAATTCAACATTTCATGATAAATCATTCTGCAAACAAAAAATAGAAGGGCATTTGTAAAATCTGACAAGGTTTACACAAAAAAATCTTACAGATAACATAATATTCTATGGTGAATGACTGGATGCTTTCCCCTTAAGATTTAAGACAAGGATGTCTGCTCTTGCCATCTATATTCCACACTGTACTAGAAGTTGCAGCCAAAGTAATTGCCAAGAAAATAAAATTAAAGACATCCAGATTGGAAAGGAGGAGGTAAAACAGCTCTCATAAAGAGAAAATTCTAAGGAATCCACTAAAAAACAATGAGAATAACTGAGTTCATAAGGTTGTAAAATATAAAATCAATACAGTATCCACTGTCTTCCCACATACTAGCAACCAACAACCCAAAAGTAAAATTAAGAAAATAATTTCATATATAATAGCAACAAAAGTAATAAAATGCTTAGGAAAAAATTTAGCAAAAGTATCAAAAACTCTGAAATCTACAAAACATTACTGAAAGAAATCGAAGATCTAAATAAATGGAAAAAATATCCCATGTTCATGGATCTGAACTGAAGCCTTCATATTGTTGAGATTATGATAATCCCTGAAATAATCTACAAATTCGGTGCAATTTCTACCAAAACACAAGTTGGCTTCTTTGTATAAATTAACAAGCTGATTCTAAAATTCATTTGGAAACTCACAGGCCTCAAAATAGCTAAAACAATCTTGAAAAAGAATAACAAAGTTGAAACTAACATGCCCCAATTTAAAAACTTACTACAAAGCAACAGTACTAAAGATAGTGTGGTACTCGCATAAGGATAGACATATAAATAAGTGAAATAGCATTGAAAGTACAAAAATAAAACTATATATCTGCTGTCAATTGGTTGTTGACAAGAGTGCCAAGACCATTTGATAAAAAGAGAACAGTCTTTTCTACACATGGTGCTGGAACAACAGGACAGCCACAGGCAAAAGAATAAAACTGAATCCTTAGCTCATATCACATACAAAAATTAACTCAAAATGGATCAAAGATATAAATGTAAGAGCCAAACTATAAAACCCTTAGGGCTAGGAGAGATGGACGGATTGGAGTGGGAAAGAAAAGGGTATGGCATTTCATTTTGAGGTAACAAACGATGTTCTAAAGTTGTGGTAATGGTTGTACAACTCTGAACATACTAAAAAACACTGAATTGTACACTTAGAATGTATGAATTGTGTGGTATGAGCTGCAAAAATATTCAGGTGAAAATTCCAAGGAGAGAGCAAAGATCATGAAAAAGTGAGAGGAGGTTATTGACAGCGGCTCATGAGTGAGTGAGGGTGATAAGTAGCATGGAAACCATGGGTGCCAGATGGGCCTTAAATATTCCTAGGGAACATTAAAGAGCTCTAATTGACAAAGGCATACAATCCACTCTGTAATTTTCTAAGATCACCTTGACTACGGGGTGAAGAATGGATTGTAAAGGGAAGGTAGGAAGCAGGAAACCAGTTGAAAGGTTACTCTAGCAACCCAGGTGAGAGATGAGGGTGGCTTAAACCAATGTCTTGGGGAAGCTTACATTCTAGCAGCCATTTTGTAATGTTTATTTGTGCAGCTGTTTCTTTCTTTCAAAGATTTTCTTCATGAAGGTAAGGGTTATGTATGTTTCATTTAACCAGTGCTCCCCAAACTGAACTGATTACAGAAATATAATGTATATGGGGTTGGAAGTCAGATTCTGGTATGGTTAAGATGGATTCAATAGGGGCTGTCCAAGGAGAAGAGCCGATATTTTTAAAACAGCAAATATAAAAGGCAACAGAGAGTACTAGGCGTGTTAAAATCACTCTACGTATGTTGAAAAAATGAGCATAAGCTTATTTACTAATATTAGAATGCTATCACCCAAAACTTCACAGGAGTATAAATGGTACAATTAGATGCTTTTGTGTAATGGGTAGTCAACTTAGGGAATTAATACTCAGTTGAAAATGTGAAGAATTCTGGAAAGGTCTAAATATAAATATGAAAGACTGATCCATGATGTCACGGTAAGGCCTAGATTTCAGGTGTTGACAACATGAGGGACAACTGTCACCCACTTCACTCCTTTCAAACTCCCACTGCACTCTGAAAGAAACTCTCACACTCACACACGCATGCAATACCATTTGGGTCTGACTCAGTATAACCTTGCTTTTTTTTTCTTTTAACATAGGAACACTATAATATATAGGAGATGCCTCAAAGGGAGAGGCTACATAAATGTAAGATATTATATATGTATTGAGGTGATAACAACTGTATTTAGAGACATGCCTCTGGAATTTAAAAAAAAAAAAAATTAAATCCGGAACGTTAGCACTGCCGGCATTTCTCCCAGGGCAAAATACATTTAGCATCCTATTAAATCAAAGGAAGTCCACTGCACACAGTGGCAAGCTTTTCCAGCTGGTGTTAACACAGATTGATGCACATGTTCAATCACGCTGAACCTGACACTGGGCTTCCTGAAATTTATACTACAAAACGGAAACGCTTTATGTGTTGCAACTTCCCAACCCCTTTAAGGCAATAACTCACCAGGCAGAAATACAATTCACTTAGCATTTTAAAAATCCATGCTGAAAACATTTTCTGGGGCTAAAGATTTCACTGAAATAGAATATATAAAATGGAACTTGTTAAAAAATATCATGTAGGAGACTTGACGGGAGTCATTTTTGATTATCAGTGAAGGCCAGGGGAATCAAAGGATATGGTATGATTTTTTGTGAAGTATGGCAAAAGAAATATTAATGCAGAATTAAAACGTAGGAGCATGCAATAAAATCCAAGTCAAAATTCAAAGTTGGGTACAAATATTCTATTCCCAACATTTTCTTTTTCAAATAAAATTAAGGCATATATTTGGAACCACAGCAATCTGTCACCTAATAATAAATTAGGCCTTTTTATTGGCTCAGTTTTGACACATTGATGGGTATACCATTGGGAGGAATGCTTATTTTTGAATTAGGAAGATCTGAACTAAAAACTGGATTCTGTCTATAATAAGCCATGTCAATAACGTGGCCTTAGGCAAGTCACAATCTCCCTTGGTCCCATCATCTTTAAAAAGAGGCCAGAGAGCTCTCCTTGCCTACATTATACAACTGAGATTAAGTGCATGAAACTCTTCTGCAAATTACGATATTCTGCACAAAAACTAAGATATGTCTGTAATTATATCTAGCTTAAAACTAATCTGAAAAATGTTAGTGATCAATTGACAAAGTCAATCTTATTCATGCGAAAGTGGCACAGTTTACAATTCCATAAAGAACATCCTTGTCACTTACTGCTCTATCTATTAAGCTAGACCTTCTTTTCATAGTAATAGGATTTAGGCAAGAAAACCAATTCTGTTAACAACATAAAGCTGCCTTGGGTTGGGGAAGGTAATTACCCCGAAACAAAAATCTAGTCTAAAAAAATTAACTTTTTTATTATGTATTTGGAGTCTGCTTATTCTAGACATAGTTAATAATCGCACTACATCTTTTCTTAAGGAAATAGTTAAAAGATTTAGCCAGGTGGGTGGCTGATTCCTGTAATCCTAACATTTTGGGAGGACAAGGTGGAAGGACGGCCTCAGCTCAGGAGTTCGAGACCAGCCTGGGCAACGTAGGGAGACTCAATCTCTAAAAAAGTTAAAAAATTAGCCAGGCATGGTGATGCATGCCTGTGGTCCCAGCTACTTGGAAGGCTGAGGTGCAAGGATCACCTGGGCCCAGAAGGTCAAGGTTGTAGTGAGCCATGATCATGCCACTGCAAGCCAGTCTGGGTGACACAGAGCAAGACTCTGTCTCAAAAAAAAAAAAAAGAAAGAAAGAAAAGATTTCATATAAGAGCTGAACTACTTTGTCGACCTCCAGAAGAGACTTCTTTTTCTATAATGCTTTTAATTGATAATAAAGATTTCAAAAGATGGATTTATATAGCATATGTTAAACATGAAATAAATTACTAATATGTAGACAAGTGACAAATGCATTATAGTGTAGGCACACAACTGATATAACAAATGAAGCAATTGGTTCAGAACAGTGGTTGTTATCATGAATTCTGGGAGAATAAAAAAAATCCCCAATGAAATAAGCGCTGTCACAAAAGGTAATGTTAAGACAGTGAGAAATTAAACAATTAGAAAATAATGTTGTCACTTGCAGAGAGGTAGTTTAAGATCTTAATATGGATAAAGAAGTGAGTCTAATCAGTTACTGCAAGTACTACAAAGTACCCAACACTTACTAGGAACAAGTTAATAATCATATAAAGGATGTCAAAAAGAAAGAATTGAATGAATGGGTGAATGAGTGAATGAAACAACCAATGGTCCAACCAAAAAGCCAATCAGAGCTTTTTACACAGAACAACCAGAACTTGCTCCCAGCCTCAATATAAAACTCCCAAGAAAGGCACAGACTTGGAAAATTGCTTGTAATTATAAAATTCTTAGGATGGATGGACTGCGGGCATACTCTTCTTGCTATGTCTTTTGTCCACCCTGAGTACTGGCCATGCAGAATCCCTTCATCTGAGCTCCTCCCTCTTGCCCCTTCTTTTCCCTCGCTTTTCTCTTCTGACCCTTCCTATGTGCCTCAGTTTTCACACAGGAGGATAATTCCCAGCCTTTCTTTTATCCACAGGATACACTGACCAATCCCACTGTGTGAGGTGAGACTTTGGCTTTGGATCTACTCTGTTGTTTCTTTCTCACTAGGCACTCGGTAACTAACTGCCTCTTCCCTGTCAAAAGGGTGGGGCTGGGGTGACCTCTCTGCTTAGACTGTTTCAGAAGAGCCCAGGTTTCAGAAAGCTGGTCTCTAAACAGTCAAAGTTTAATAGCATAAATATCCACTGTGCCCGTATGTGTATGTGCGTGTGTGTGTTCATTTACCTAACATTCACTGAGCAGCTGTACTCATTCCTGAATCAAGGCTAAATTCTTTAAGCAGATTATCCTTTTAATCCTCACAAAGACACCAGGAGGTGGGAGCTGTTATTACCCTCATTTTACATGAGGTGTAGAAGGGAGGTAAAATAACGTTATCTGTTCTAGTCCGTTTTCACGCTACTCATAGAGACATACCCGAGACTGGGCAATTTACAAAAGAAAGGTTTAACTGGACTTATAGTTCCACGAGGCTGGGGAGGCCTCACAATCATGGTGGAAGGCAAGGAGAAGCAAGTCACATCTTACATGAATGGCAGGAGCCACAAGAGAGGGCTTGTGTATGAGACCCCCATTTTTAAAACCATGAGATCTTGTGAGACCCATTCAGTATCACAAGAACGGCACAGGAAAGACCCGCCCCCATGATTCAGTCATCTCCCACCAGGTCCCTCCCACAACGCGTGGGAATTATGGGAGCTACCAGATGAGATTTGGGTGAGGACACAGAGCCACATCATATCAATATCTGAAGGTCACAGAACAAGGCAGTGGGAGAGTGAGGTTTGAACCCAAGCCTAGTGATGGAGAGTCCAGCACTTAACCTCTATCCTCTACTGTTTACATTTAAAAAACGTTTTAAACCTCTGGATAAAATAAATGGGAACCAGTTGACAGAATGACAGTAACAGAAGAGAAGATAAACAAGACACTTATAATCAGGGACTTAATTGACCAAACAAATACTGGATTTTCTTCTTCCCTGCCTCAGAAAAGAAAGTTATTTTTCTTTAGCTTCTTAATGTCCACAGGAAAAGGATTAAGAGATATAACAAGAGATTTTTGACTGTACATCCACTCATTGTTAATTCTGTTTATTCTGGAGTATATAATTGAGAGGAAATTCTCAATTCATAACATCCTTTACTCTCTGAAGGGGATTAGTATTTGTTTCCACTCTTCACAAGTATGCTAGAAAATACTATGCTTCTCATAGTTACTGTAGTAAAAAATGTTATTGATTGTGGGCACATATTGCAGGGCACTAAGCTGGCTAGCCCCAGGTGTATGCAGCGTTGCAGACATACGTCCCATAGGCTGCTGGGATTGGTGCAAATTAAGGTTTTGATGTCTATAGCACTTTGTTTTGTTGCATGCCGAGCAGACCAATGTGATTTTTTTTCCCTCTTCTCCAAAGGCAAAATTATCTGGGTAACAAATGCGGGACAAGAGGTCCCATTACTGCCTAGAAGCCAAGCAACCAGAAACGATTCCAATTCAGAACAAGCAGCAGAAACCATGGAATGCTCAGGAAAGAGAATTATGCAAAACACAGAATCCAGATCTTCAGCTCACACAACAGCGGTCTCATCGGCAGGTGAGAAAATGCAGAAATGGAATAGAAAACTGCTAACAAACCCCAGGTGACGTCACCAGCTCCCAAATCACTTTTTTTTTTTTTTTTTTTTTTTCCTGGGGCTGTTGACCTATTCTGAGGATTGTTCAGGGTATGCATTGAGTTTCCTTTCTTCACTACCAACGCAGGATTTTTATCCTCTCTACTAATTAATTCTTCTAAGAAATAATATATAAAAGAACAAAAAAGGGGTGAAAGTTCAGTTAGCCACACGGCTGGCTGCTTTTTAGGAGTCTGGATGCTGGCTGAAAATACTGGGCAAAAAGAGACTTCTGCATTCAGGCAGGCTCCGGAGGATATTTCAATTATGTGCATTCCACTGTCCTGTCCTGGCCGAGTTAACTGCATATGTCAGGAAAAAGAGAATAATCCCCCAACCCCCATCTGTCTCATAAGAGAACCCCTTTTTCCTATGAAGCTAAAACACACCACACAGCTCCAGCAATGGGGAGCCATCTGTGGTGTCAACCGAGGTGGCCACAGTCCCTGAATGGCCACGGATGTCTGCCTGGGAGTCAGCCCGACCCATTAACATCCTCGATCCTTCTGGCTTCAGTGTTTAGGAACCATAGTGCTTCAGGCTCAATCTTTCACTCTCTGCAGTCACACACAAGGGATCTCATCCAATTTGTACTCTTAAATGTATGCTGATAATGCCCCAAACTATATATGCAGCCTAGACGTCTCTTCTGGACTCTAGATTCTTATACCCTATCGCCTTCTCAATGAGACACCCTTAAGGCATCTCAAATTTAAGATATCTGAGGCTCAGGTCAGGATGACCTCCTCTCCTCAATCCCTCTCCTAATCTACTCTTCCTAAAATCTTTCCCAGCCTTCCAGTTGCTTAGACCAAAAACCTCACAGTTAACCTTAACTCTCTCACCCCTCATCTAAACTGTCACCAATTCCTGTTAGTTTTGCCTTGGAAACAGATCCAGTATCCGACCATTACTTCTACCACTACCAGTACCATCTGGATGAAGCCAGCATCTACTCCCACCAGGATTGCAATGATAGTCTCCTATCTCTCAGACTCTCCACTTCCACCCTTGCCCTCTGCCCTCCAGCCTATTTTCAGCACAGCAGCCAAAGAACTCCTCTGAAAAACAGTCAGGGGCTACACACCATGGCTCATGCCTGTAATCCCAGTGCTTCAGGAGGCTGAGGCAGGAGGATCACTCAAGCACAGGAGTTTGAGACTAGCCTGGGCAATACAGCAACACCCCATCTCCACAAAAAACTGAGAAAACCAGTGGGGCACAGTGGTGCACGCCTGTAGTCCCAGCTACTTGGGAGGCTGAGGCAGGAGGATGGCTTGAGCCTGGGAGACAGAAGCTGCAGTGAGCTATGATTGCACCACTGCACTCCAGCCTGGGTGATCACATGAGACTCTGTGTCTAAATAAGAAAGTCAGATCATGCTATGCCTTTCCTCAAAACCCTTCAATGTCTTCCCATTTGTATCAGTTTCCTTTTGCTGCTCTAACCAATGACTACAAGCAGTGGCTTAAAATAATAGAAATCTAGTCTCTTACTGTTGTAGAGTGCACAAGTCCAAAAACTGGATTTTATGGAGCTAAAATTGAGGTGCCAATAAAGCTGCATTCCTTCTGGAGGCTTCGGGATTGCAGGGGGGACATCCGGCTGCATGCCTTTCCAGTTTCTGGAGGCTGCCTGTACTTCTCGGCTCGTGGCCCCTTCCATGAGTGACTCCAGCCTCTTGCTTCTGTCACCATGTCTTCTACTCCTACCTCTGACCCTCCTTCCTCTGTCTTAGGAGGCCCCTTGTGATTACACCGGGCTCACCTGGGCAATCCAGGATAATCTCCCCATCTCAAGACTACAAAGTCCATAAGCAAAGTCACTTTCCCTATATAAGGTAACAAATTCTCACATTCTGGTGATTAGGACGGGAGCATCTATAGGAGTGCCCATTTCACCCGGAGTAAAAGCCCAAGTTCGGACAATGTCCTACCAGTTCCCATGTGAACCAGACCCCATTTCCTGTCTAAGCTCATTGCTTACAACTCTCTCCCCTTCACTCACTCTGTTCCAGCCACACTGGCCTTGCTCTTCCTCAACACAAGCCCACCCAGGACCTTTGCACTTACCATTCTCTCTGTCAGGGGACCTCCCTCCTTCCTTTAAGTCTCTGCATAAAGGGCACCACCCTATGAGTGAGGGTTTCTCTGATTACCCGTTCCCCAGCCGGGCTCTCCCTTCCATGCTCCATTTTTTTCCCAGAGCTCTTAATACCACATATCTGTCATTCATATTCTCTCTCTCTTTCTTCTGTCTTCTCCCGCTAGAACATCATCAGTCACGCGTGTTCTGTCTCTTGTTCTAATCCCTAGCAAATACCAGGGGCTCAACAAACAGTTGTTGAGTAAGTGACTCTTACTTTACCGGAAAAGGCAAGTTCCTTGGACTCAAAGGTCTGCCCTCAAATAGGAACTTAACCTGAATGAATAAATGAATGAATGGGTACACGAGACTCAACTTACATCTCATTTCTTATAGGTATATAGACTAATATGAAAGCAAGTGCTTTACTACTTAAGAACCAGACATAACAGTTTAAATGGCTTATTCAAAGACACACAGTGAAGGTAAAGTAACACAATCACGTATTAAACCTCCAGCCAAGCCCCTGACTTTATTTTGCTGTGTCCCTGTATGTTCTCAGACCTGATAAATCAGAACTCGCCTGGATTCTCTTGCTTGGCTCAAATACCAGTACCAAAAAGTTTACAAGTCAATAAACTCTGGATTTATTATGAAAGGAAATTTCACAGAAATCTCAAAAGCATTTATCTCGTGTATTCAGATATGTAAAAAATATACAGCGAGAGATCATCATCCACACTTTAAAACACCCCCAGAAGCAAACCTGCAGCATAAGCTTCATATGCATCACCAGTGCCCAGCACTGCCCATCAGCCAGCCCGGAGCAGCATCCAGATGGTCACCTCAGGCGTTGGGGACACAAAAAAACCAAAGACGATCCCATCCTGGGGCATGTTTACTGAGGGGAAAGAGACACGGGGACAACGCAACTGGCTTGGAAAGGGCCAGCAATTTGTCTTGCAGAGGCCATCTCAGCTGCGTTTTGCAAAGTGTTATGCTAGCCTTGCTCACATGCCGGCAAAGCCCACGCCAACTCACCATCCAGCAACATCTCTCCGCCTGCCTTTTCGGGAGAGTGTGCTGGGGTTGTGTTTTGTTCAAACTTGGAAACTGCATTTCTAGGAATCCTCTTACCAGCATATGGGTGGGAAAAAGGACCTCACCGTGATCAGGAAGCTGGACCCAGAGGAGGGACTGTCAGGTTCAAATCTCACCTGACTCACTAGCTGTGTCCCCACAGACTTGTCAGCAACCAACTCTCTCTATGCCTCAGTGTCCTCATCTTTAAAAAGTCTCCTTATAATTCTTACGATAATTATAGGTGATATTGCAGGAAAAACATTTACAGTGCCTTGCAATTCCAGGCCTTAATAGATACTACCTATTATTATAATAGCTGTTACTGTATTAGTAGTATACTAATCTTGACTTTTTAAAAAAAATCACCATTCAAAAATAAATAGTCCATTTGTCTTCATCTTGAGTTTTGCTTGTGACAGTGACTTCTAAAGGTTTATCACGTACTTACAACTGTTTGTCTATAATCAGGAAAAACTGCTATCAGGCAAATGTTAAGATTAAGCTTTTCTACATACGGCTCGCAAAAATAAAGTCATTTAAAGCCTTCCCCCTCAATTCTACACCTGAATAAAAATATACATGATTTGTTAATGGAAAGCCTTACAGAAATGTTGAACAAATATGACCTCATGCAGTATTTAAATAAGATAAGCAAAATGAGTAAGATTTTAAAATATATACATAGGCATGCGTAGGTTCAACTAGACATTTTTGTGGCAAATTACTGTCTGATAAAATAATTGTTTAATATCCTACGTTGCCTCACTGCTTGAAAAATGAAATAAGATCAAATGACATCAAAATACACATTTATTTTTCCGTTTCTACTAACCACACTAACCAAGCATACATGTCAGAGGCATTAAGTGAGCTTTACACCAAGTTATAGAAGAATTCACCTCACACATGGAGATTCTGATTTAGTAGGTTGGGGAGGGAGCAAGTTTTTGAGTTCTGCAGAAGCTCCCCAGCTATTACTTATGCTAACATCTGTGGTTATTAACCACTGTACAAGATCTCTCTTTTTTTTTTTTTTTTCCTTTCAACAAGGTCTTGTTCTGTCACCCAGCCAGGAGTGCAGTGGCACGATCACTGCTCACTGCAGCTTTGACCTCCCAGGCTCAGGTGATCCTCCCACCTCAGCCTCCCGAGTAGCTGGGACTACAGGCATGCACCACCACGTCCAGCTAATTTTTTGTACTTTTTGTAGAGACGGGGTTTCACCATGTTGCACAGGCTGGTCTCAGACTCCTGGGCTCAAGCTATCCGCCTGCTTCGGCCTCCCAAAGTGCTGGGATTACAACTGGGAGCCACCGTGCCCGGCCCGAGATCTCTCCTTTAACAAGAAGTTTTTTGCCTTGAAAATGTTTGCAAAAAGCGTTTCTTGATTCTGTCACCCTGCTCCCAAAGCAACACGTGACTACTTGCAACTCAGTAAAGAGAAGTGTTGAGTTGCTCCTCAGCCCTTAAAAAATCATTAAATAATCCTCTAGGTGGATTTTTAACACTAGCAAGAGAGCTAAGGGAAATGGCAAGAGAGGAGGCGGGACTTCCCAGCTGGTCCACGAAATCACGTGACTGCCTTCCCTTTAGACTAATATGGCTGCCAACAGAACTCAAGGTGCTGATAGGCGTGCTCTGTGTCTCAGTCTTCCTATGCGTAACCATTAGCCACATGAGCCTGCTCATAACCTTCCTAACGTCCTGTCATCCAAGGTCCTTGCTTCATTAATTCATTCAGTCAGTGTTTTCTGAGCACCTACTGTACCCGAGGGAACAAATACAAAAATGTCCCTGCCCTCCTGGTGATTGCATTCTAATTTCTAACAAATGGCCTCTTCAAACTGCCAAACTTGTTTAAAGAACTGCTTCCTCAATGTGTTTCTTAAAAATGATGGTATTTTGGAGTAGAAAAGCAAATAATCGCAGTTTGAGAAAACAATGTGGTTCAAAGGACTGAAGAAATGAGAGGCTATGGAGGGTCTGCACAAGAAAAGATAAGGGAACTCGTGAACCTTTTGCAGTGGAACGAAGCAGTAACAGAATTACTGGCTTGGAGGTTATTTCTGGCGGGGGACATAAACCCACCCTGGAAATAGGAACGACCTGGCAGAGAAACAGGATTAGGATTCAGCGGCCAGGAGTAGGATCCATTCCCAGCAAGAACATATTTAACAATTCCTACTAGAGATGGGATCAGGAGAGAGGCAAATTCACGACCCGCAGAGGTATCAACATGTTCAAGTAGCCATAACAACTACTTTAACTATTTGGTAAAAGTTTTTCCAGGTCAATAAAAATTTAAGGGGTTAAAAAGTAAGAGTGATACTTAAAGTTATTAATAACCAACCAAGACCCAGAAAGCTTACCCAGCTAGTCAATGAGGAGCCAGGGATAAGGCTCTTACTACTAATCCCATGCTTTTCCCACTACATCACGCAGGGAGCTGAGCGGGGTCATCTTTCATCAGCAGTTTCTAAGACAGGGGACACTACAGCTGCAGAACACAGGATCCGGGAAGGTCAAACCTGTAACAGCTAACTCTGGTCAATGACAAATGGTTCTCAAATGATCAGCATCGTGTGCCTAGGTGGAGAGTAGTTGCCAAGAAGAGGACAGAGGTTGTTCAGAATTGCTACATTAGGATAATTGTTATTCATGAAACCCAGAACTAAGTTCATTCATCAGCAACCTTACCTAGTTCTGGGGGCAGAACGGTGAGGCGGTTCCCCTGAATGTGGAGCTCTTTAAGCTGGGTAAGCTCCCCGATTTCCTTAGGCAGCGAGATCAGGTCGTTATCCCTAAGGCTGAGCTAAACAGAAGAAAACAAGTTGTCAACATATTTACACATTAAAAGGTGCTCCACAGAAACTCTCATCCTCTATGTCCTCTCTTCTACTAAAGCTCAATCCTTTCCATGTATTTACAAGTGCCGGCGGATAATCAAGAAACACTATCAGGAGTAGTGGTTTATTCCCACAAAACAAACCTTACTCCTGCTCAAATTGACTTGATTCTACCCCTACAAGGCTGCAGCAGTGAATTGATTTTCTAAGAATTTAGATAAATTACTTACTATCTGCAACTTTGTGAGCTTCCCAATATCTGGCGGCAGGATTTCAAAATCGTTGTCACTTAGATAGAGTGCACGCAGGGTGGCTGCAAATTAAACAGCAATATATAAACAGGGTGGCATGGAACACAACCATTTGAGGTCTGATCAATACGAGGGAGTCAGCTTTGATTAATAACCCTGGCTTGGTGAAAAGCCTTTGACATACCTAGGGCTCCCAATAATAACAAGCAGGTCAAACTTAGATTTACTGGCTTATTGTGTAGCTGGTGTGTCCAGGAAAACATCTATATCCAAGAGGAATGACGCAATTAACAACTGTGGGCGCCAGCATTTTGGGGCACAGAGTTTCAGCACATTTTCAGAAAAGATTGCTATACTTCTCATAGATTACTTTTGATTCACATTTATTTCTCCATTTGCATCCAAAGTAAAACAAAGAACACTACTGTGCCACTTTTATGGATACCTAGGGCAAAAGGGTTCTTTCAAGAGAATACAGCTCTGTTAAAATAGACCTTTTCCTATGTAAATAGCACTGTGTTACAAATTAATGGAAGGCTTTCTGGTGATGGAGGCTATAACCACAGCTCATCAGTTCCATAATCTGACTAATTATTACTACGTGTTTCTACAGCCTTAAGGACAAAAGTAAATGAAGACAAAGAGGCTAAAATAATGACATGAAGTTAACAGAGTAAATCCTAACTTAAGGAGAATATCAGTAGTCAGAAATTTGTTCATAATTATTACACAATGATAATACGATTCCAACCTACTGAAGGCTAAAATTCTAAAGCATCTGTTTATCTTCAACCAAAAAAGCTGAGTATAATTAGATACATGTTTTGTTTACCCGTATTTATTTTTTAGAGACAGAGTCTCGCTCTGTCACCTAGGCTGGAGTGCAGTGGGTCACTGCAGCCTCAAACTCCTGGCCTCAAGCACTCTTTCTACCTCAGCCTCCCAAGTAGCTAAGATCACAGGCTCATGCTACTATGCCTGGCTACTTTTTAAATTTTTATTTCTAGAGACAGGGTCTCTCTATGTTGCCCAGGCTGGTCTTGAACTCCTAGCCTCAAGTGATCTTTGTAGCTCATACTCCCGAGAACTGCATGTTAATATAACATAATAAAAATAGTTGCTCCACTGCCCAAGAAAATATTTTATAGTTGGTTTCATGTGCTTGAGAAAGTCATAGAAAGGTAATGTACGTAAGGTAAAAAATAAAATTTTAGAGATCAGCTCTGAAAATTCAGATTTTCTGAATGCCACACAAGTTACTATTTGAAGAAATAGAACACTGATTTAAGGGAAGCAAACCTTGTCCAAAATAGTGCATGAGTTCCCAGAAGAAATCATTTTTTAATTTTCAAAAGCATCTCCAGCAAGAAATTTGTTTGCATATGAAAGAATAAAGTGTGTTCACCTGTGGCCAATAATTTCTTAATGCCTGTGTACTGGATAAATAGGTCAATAAGAGTACTTTTTAAAAGGCTCAAAATAGGAATACTGGCTGGAAAATTTTAAAATTGTGTTACTGGTTTATTAATAAATATTTTTAATAAATAATTGGTTGGAATATCCTGGGCAAATATCCTACAAAGAATTAATAGCAACATAGGAAGATACTTTTTTTTTTTTTTTTGGCATGCTATTTAAAAAGAAAGTCAAGTCTCTTAGCTAAATGTGAGGCTTGATCTCATTTAGGTATATAATCTCTCTCAGAATGTTAATATGACATTACTAAGTCCACTTCAGCCCAATGGTGTCACATAACGATCTATCAAATGCACATACTGCTGAGCTACGAAGGAATATTCAAAAGGAGTCTCTAAAGAAAAAATTATCTCTGTCCAATAATTTCTCTTGGAGTTTGGGTCCTGGCAAATAAATTTCCCTCTCAGAACGCAAAGTACAAGGTTGAGGAGATTTATAGAATTGAAAGTTTCTTACTCAGGTAGAAGAAGTTTCCAGGAAGAGAATTTTCGCTCAAGTTGTTGTACGTCAAGTCCAGAACCTCAAGAGCTGGCAGGGAGCCGAAGCCTCGTGGCAAAGTGTTCAGCCTGTTCATGCTGTTGCAGGGGGACAAAAATCTATGTCATGACACCAAAGACACATTCATACAGACTATCAAGGGCACCTCTGTTTCAGACGCTGAAAGTGTAAGACAGTGCCATGATCCTAGAGTCACTTTATACTTTATTTTTATTTTTTATTTTTTTGAGACAGGGTCTTACTCTGTTGCCTAGGTTTTAGTGCAGAGGCATGATCTCAGCTCACTGCAGCCTCAACCTCCCCAGGCTCAAGCGATCCTTCCACTTCAGCCTCCCAAGTAACTGGGACCACAGATGCACGCCACCACGCCCTGCTAATGTTTGTATTTTTTGCAGAGATGGGGTTTTGCCATGTTGCTCAGGCTGGTCTCAAACTCCTAAGCTCAAGCAATCCTCTCACCTAGGCCTCCCAGAATGCTGGGATTACAGGCGTGAGCCCCCATGCCCATCCTTTTTTTTTTTTAATTAAAAAAAGCATTTATTTAATATTTACAATGACAAAGATTGTACATACTTATGGTGTACAACATGATACTTCTGATGTATGTATACTACATCATGGAATGGTTTAAATCATACTATTTAACACACGCGCTGCCTCATATGCTTGTCATTTTTTTTGTCTTTTGTGGTGAGACTGCTTAAAATTCACTCTCTTAGCAATTTTCAATTATACCACATATTGTTATTAACTGCAGTCACCATGATGTACAATCCATCTCTTGAACTTATTTCTCCTAACTAAAATTTCATGTCCTTTGGCTAACATCTCTGCAATTCCCCTCTCCCTCCAGCCTGTGGTAACCATTTTATTCCCTGTTTCGATGAGGTTTACTTTTTTACATTCCACATATAAGTGAGAAGGTGTGGTATGTTGTCCTATTTAGGCTAATAATTTCAGTCAGACAGCTTACATGATCTTGAAACACTTGAAAATTTCTTAGCTGTTATTTTCCTCCAACGGTGAAACTTAATCACTGCTTTACACAAAAACTCAAACCATTACAAAATATCTTTCCTTGTAAAGAACAACTTCCCTATGAACGTAGTGATAATATCTCAAAATATACACATGAAGCTTTGTAGTTTTCAGGCTTTTGCTTGATTTCATTCCATTTATTCCTTTTTTGGAGGGAAAATCATGTTTTTGTTCTACAACTGCTAACACTGAAAATTATCTTCAATTAGAATGGTGATGGCCAGGGGCTGGAGGGAGGGGGAATGGAGAGGTGTGGTTTAATGGGCGTAGGATTCAGGTTTGCAAGATGAGAAAATTCTGGGGATTGGCTGAACAACAATGTGAATACGCTTAACACCACTGAACTGTCTACTACAAAGACGGTACATTTTGTGTGCATTTTATCACAACCTAAAAAATTTTTAAATCATACAATTGACCCTTGAGCAACATGGGTTTGAACTTCCTGGGTCCAATGAGACATGGATATTTTTCTTCTACCTCTGCCACCCCTGAGACCGCAAAACCAACCCTCCGCTTCCTCCTCAGCCCACTCAACATGAAGAGGACGAAGACCTTTAAGATGATCCACTTCCACTTAAAGCACAGTAAATGCACTTTCTTTTCCTTACGACTTTCTTAATAACATTTTCTTTTCTCTAGCTTACTTTATTGTAAGAATGCAGAATAGAATACATGTAACATACAAAATATGTGTTCATCAACTATTTCTAGTTTTGGTAAGGCTTCCAGCCAACTGTAGGCTATTAGGAATTAAGATTTTTCGGAGTCAAAAGTAATGTGTGGATTTTTGACTGCATGAGTCATTGTGTTGCTCCCGCAACCCATGTGTTGCTCAAGGGTCAATTGTGTGTGAGTGTGTGTGTGGGGTGTGTGCTGTGTGTGTGTGGTATTGTGTGTGATGTTATGTGTATGTGTATCTGGGTGTTTCGTGTGGTGTGTGAGGGGTGGGGTGTGGTGTGTGAAGGACGTGGGGGGCTGTGTGGGGGCGGGTATGTGTGTGGTGTGGGGTAGGTATGAGTGTGGTGTGGTGTGTGTATAGGGTGTGTTTGGGGGTGTGGTGGTGTGTGTGTACGCAGTGTGTGTGTGGTGTGTGTGTGGGTGTGTTTGTACACGGTATGTGTGTGTGCTGTGGGTGTGGTGCGTGTGGGTATGTGTGGGTGTGCGTGTGTGTGTGTGGGCGTGTCTCCAGTGAAGTCTAAGGGAATTTTTTTCTACACTATCTTTTATCCTTTCTTCAAGCCCCTTATTTTTCTTAACGCAGTTCCCTTTGAGCATACTTAAAAGCCAATTTTTAAAAAAAAAATTTAATAAAAGTTGACAGATACTGAAAGGTGGAAGGGACTGTGACAATAAAAATCATTCTAGCCATCGATCCTTCTCCTAACACATTCAGCTCCATCCAGCCCTACCAAGAGGGCCTCACCAGAAACAGCTGACAGCAGAGGGGGCAACCAAAAGGGAAACGCGGGTTCCCCCTGTCAGGCAGAAAACTTCCCAGACAGACTACACCCAGCAAAACTACCTCCACGACTATCTACTGCCACGACAGCAAGAACAAACATTCTCCATGAAGTCACAATTTGTGAAGCACATTATGGCAAGGACTTCGCTTGTTCACTAAAACTACCTTGCAATACAGGTAAGATGGAGCTTGTCATTAATGCTATGTTGAGATGAAAAAACAGCCTAAGAGAGGGTGAGGAGCCAAGACTTCAGAAGTGACTGATGAAGGCGACATGTGTCTGGAAACACCCCATACCGCACGGAGGCCAAAGCTGCTCCAGACCCTTGGGCTCTGATACAAGGATTCTGAGAAGAATTGCAAGTCAAAGGAAGGACAGCAGAGAAGACCACACTAGGTGCTTCTGTCTTTAAACGCTGCTTTCGGTTATCTCTTTTTGAAAACTGCTGATTCCTTAACATTTTTCTCTGCAAATAAATACACTTTTGCAATATTAGGTAGAGGAAATCCACGGTTAGACAGGCTTAGAGGGAAGAGGCATCTCACCTGAGAGAGAGCTCCCACTCAATCTTCAGCCCAGAGCAAGCCTGGAGCCCCTCCACCTCCTGGTGGCAAGAATCTACTTAATTGCAGATTCCTTTTTCCTTTGAGTGACAAACCAATACCCACAACATTTAAGGAACACAGCAGAGTCCCATGTGCCGCTGACAGCAGTAAGTAACAGTGGTAGGCACACCACCCTGGCGGGCAGAAAGAAGTCCTTAAACAAATGCTAAAACTTCAGAAGAATTGCTAGCAACAGCCCCAGCTACAAAGCGGCCAAGGAACTGCAGAGACTTCTGGCCACCTCTCCGGACACCAGTCCAGGTGGATGGTGACATGGTGGGTTCTCTCTCTGCAGAATGAAGGATGGAACATGCTGGCTGTCCCCCCTCCCTCCAGCAGGTGCTAACATCCATCTCCATCCATCCACATTTTGACACATAGGAATTCCATGCTCAGGGCCCCGCTCTGACACTGCTAGCAATCAAGGTTTCCATGAGAGGCTACAGTGGCGGTAGGAAAAGTATGGAGCTTTAAGGTAGGAGACAGCTAGGTGAGGAGACCGGCTCCAGCACTTGCTAGCTGCGTGACCTTCACCAAGTTACTCAGCTTCTCTGAGACCCAGTTTCCTCAACTATAAAATGAGGCTGACAACACCTTCAGGGCAGGATCACTGAGAGGATAAGAGAGAAAATATCCGAAGCACCCAACACCCAATCCATGGCTCACACGTGGCTTCTCAGGGAATGAGAGCTGTTGCTAGAATTATTTTTCAAAAGATTTGAGAGAAAATTTTGATTTAGCCCTAAGCGAGCAAGCTCACCTCATGACAAGCCACTCTGGATAGTCTCAACTATCAAGTGTGGTTTTCTATTTGTGCCACACTTGGTTAATCTCAGGTGACCTCAGGTGTTGAAACATAAAGCTTCGCAGGGCTCAGCTATGCCAAGTGGTATCAATTCTTTTGTTTGCATGGGAAGATTTTTCAAATGCGTGTTGGAAGTGGGCAAATGCCTGCATATGATGGAGAAGTTGATAAAACCAGGGGGTTTCAGGCTATTTCAGCATCTTTTTTCCTTGTCTTCTAAAGCCCCAGAAAGGTCTGTACTAATGCCTCCTTTTCAGAGCAGTTTCTTCTCCGCAGGTTGTCCTGAGCACCTCCAGCTTCAAAGAAACCTTCTTGTCTAAAGGCACTAATTTTTCTCACCTCCACAGTGACCTACTCACACTTATCAAAAATAAAAATTTAAAAAAATCCAGGCCGAGCCCAGTAGCTCACGTCTGTAATCCCAGCACTTTGGAAGGCCAGCACAGGCAGATTGCTTAAGCTCAGGAGCTCGAGACCAGCCTGAGCAACATGGCAAAAACCCGTCTATACCAAAAAAAAAACCTACAAAAATCAGCATGGCGTGGTGGTGCGTACCTGTGGTCCCAGCTACTCAGGAGGCTGATGTGGGAGGATCATTTGAGCCCAGGAGGCATAGGTTGCAGTGAGCGGAGAGCATGCCACTGCACTCCAGCCTGGGTGACAGAGTGAGATCTTGTCTCAAAAAATATATAAATAAATAATCCAAATCCACAAATATCCAACAAGGGACTTAATAAAAACTTCTATGTGTTTATGAGACAAGCTCTAGCAACAAACGAGGTCAAACGTTATTCCCGAACAGTTGGGCACGGTGGTCCTGCAGTGAAGTTACCCTAGAAATAATCATCAACATGGATAATTGTTGAAGCCACATCAACCTATGTGGCTTCACACTTTTTGGAAAATAACTCTATGAAATAAACCGCATTTAAGGAATTGAGAACAGAACTAAACTTTCTTTTACTTATTCAGGTGGCCTAAAATTCTCTCATGTCTTACAATCATCAGAATAAACTGTAAATACTATAAAAACTTTGAAAGCAAATTCTGATGGATCACACATACAAGTGGCTTCCCATCTCCACTTTGTGATCTCCTGTGTGTATGCTTTTCACCCTGGCTCCTTAGAATAAGGAGTCCTCCCTATAACTTGCCTCACTGTGTGAGTACAATTCTTTATGCCATTTGAGGACAGAGTATCCTTTAGTGAAACCCATCTTAGCTCCTTTCTCAAAGAACTGGGAGTTTTGTTCAAACTTTGACAACTCCGTCTATGTAGCTATGTAATTAAATACAAAAAGCTTTACACAATCAGTACAGCACCGACAGCCAAAAATGCAAACAACTCCAAAGAGAACAAGAAGGCAACTAACATGCATTCATTGAAAAGGAAAAGTTTAGGGCCGGGCGCAGTGGCTCATGCCTGTAATCCCAGCATTTTGGGAGGCCGAGGCAGGTGGATCACCTGAGGTCAGGAGTTCCAGACCAGCCTGACCAACATGGTGAAACGCCATCTCTACTAAAAATACAAAAGTAGCTGGGTGTGGGTGTGTGCACTTGTAATCCCAACTACTCGGGAGGCTGAGGCAGGAGAATCGTTTGAACCCAGGAGGTGGAGGTTGCAGTGAGCCGAGATCATGCCATTGCACTGGAGCCTGGGCAACAAGAAAGAAACTCCATCTCAAAAAAAGAAAAAAAAAAAAAAAGAAAAGTGTACGACTCTGTCCTCTGCTGCCTCAAACCAAAATGTTATTAGGAAAGTCAAAAAAGAACAAAATTTGAGCTTATTATCTTCTTCCCAAACCTGTCTCCATCTGTTGTATTTTTCAGCTGCCCAACACAGAAATGAAGGTATCATTCCATCCCATCAGTTACTGTCTGTCAACGTTACCGCCTGTATATTTTTCATATAAAATCCCCCCCACCTCCACTGTCACTGTCCTAGTTCACCTGGGACATGAAGCTCGTCTTCTTATTGGTCTCCTAACCTCTAGTTTACCTCCCTCCACCCTCTTCTCCATACTCTTTCATACGGAAATATGACCATATCTCCTATCTGCTACTCTGCTATGCAAATTTCTCAAGGGTCAGTATAAAATTGGAGCTCGTTTATTTATTTTTGTATGTATTTTTGAGATGGAGTCTCACTCTGTCACCTAGGCTGGAGTGCAGTGGTGCGATCTCAGTTCACTGAAACCTCTGCCTCCTGGGTTCAAACGATTCTCCTGCCTCAGCCTCCCAGGTAGAGTAGCTGCGATCACAGGCACGTGCCACCACACTTAATTTTTGTATATTTAGTAGAGACAAGGTTTCGCCACGTTGACCAGGCTGTTCTCGAACTCCTGGCCTCAGATGACCTGCCAGCCTCAGCCTCTCAAACTTCTGGAACTATAGCTATGAGCCACCACGCCCGAGAGGAGCTGCTTTATTTAGCACAGAGTGCTTTTCTTAGCACTTTTTACTTCCTGTCATTATTATAAACATTTATTTGTTTATAGTTGGTTTCTCCAACTGTAATGGAAGCTCCATCAGGGCTGGATGGCCAGCAGCTAGAACAATGCCTGGTACATGGTAAGGAACTTGGTAAATCCTCATTCACTGAACAACAGACATCCAGGATTCCCTGTCTAGCCTGACCTCTGACCTGACAGCCGCCCGCCTCACACTTTATACTCAACAGTGCCAAAAAACTGACAATTCCCAGGCCCCAGGCAGGCAGTGCTGTGAGCGTTTAAATATGCCATTCTCAGCCGGGCACGGTGGCTCACACCTGTAATGCCAGCACTTTGGGAGGCCGAGGCGGGTGGATCATGAGGTCAGGAGATAAAGACCATCCTGGCTAACACCGCAAAATCCCATCTCTACTAAAAATGTAAAAAATTAGCTGGGCGTGGTGGCAGGCGCCTGTAGTCCCAGCTACTTGGGAGGCTGAGGCAGGAGAATCTCCTGAACTCAGGAGGTGGAGCTTGCAGTGAGCCAAGATTGTGCCACCATACTCCAGCCTCGACGACAGAGTGAGACTCTGTCTCAAAAACAAAACAAAACAAAAGAGTGCCATTCACTCCATCTGAGATGCCTTCCTTCAACTTGTAAGTCTGAGAAATTCTCACGCATCAAGTCTCGGCTCCTGTGCTCCCTGCTGTGTTTGTGCTCCTGAAGATCTCATCTGTGGACTAAAGTGCTCCCCGGTCTTGCTGTTCCCCCTGTTGGTCCACAACCGCCAGCATATCTGTGACCTCATTGGTCTGTTCCTGTTTATAACCAGCCTTGCCCCAATAGGTAAGGTCAGGGACCATAACCTTCACCTTGGCTCCCCGGTACTAGGAAGATTCCTGACATAGAATAGTCACTTACATAGTCATGGAATCAATGAAAACGTAAATAAGACAATTATGATGATAACAATAGCTAACTAATACTAGGTACTGCTCAGTATGTGCCAAGCACTGTTCCTAGTGATTGAGATTTTATATATATATATATAAAATAGATATAATGTGTACATATATTTCATTTAATAAATGAACAAATTAACAGTAAGAATATACATCTATATGTAGTTTTAGCTTCTTTCTCACATACAAATTAAAGATCAGGATAGAATAGCCTGTAAAACCAAGATATAAATGGAGCATCTTTTCATTTCTGCTTTGCCAGATGGGTATACAGGCTCCAAATTTGTAGGGAGAAAAAAAAAAAAACCATCTCATCTCAAGCGATGTTCCTCCCTCCTTTTAACTTCACTTTCCCTCAGACATAAGAATAAAGGCTGCCCATGGATCTCATAAAGTTGGTCCCTAAGCCCAAGTGAACTTCAAAATAATGTGTCTGACCAAATTCCTTGTGGGAGCAATAAACTAAAAATCACTCCATGAATGAGATTTTTTTTCATGACTGCTCCCTATTATATTGGCAAATACGGCCAGACGCAGTAATCCCAGCACTTTGGGAGGCGGAGGCAGACGGACATGAGGTCAAGAGATTGAGACCATCCTGGCCAACATGGTGAAACCCCATCTCTACTAAAAATACAAATATTAGCTGGGCATGGTGGCGCACGCCTGTAGTCCCAGCTACTCGGGACGCTGAGGGAGGAGAATCGCTTGAACCCAGGAGGCGGAGGCTGCAGCTAGCCCAGATCGCCTGGTGACAAAGCAAGACTCTGTCTCAAAAAAAAAAAAACAAAAACAAAAAAACCTGGGAAATACCTGGCCAGCATCTATTGCCACTCCACGTCAATCACTAACTTAACTAGAGCATTTAGTGGCTACAAATTTAATGAACATATGACTTTGCACAGAGACTGCAGCATGAGTGGGCAGTTTCATCTGATAGCTGCGCCAATGAAGATGAAATTCTGATGCCGCAGTTCCGGTTGGGGTCTATGGATCTATTTGTCTGTTCTCCCATTGCTATAAAGGAATGCCTGAGGCTGGGTAACTTACAAGAAAAGAGGTTTAACCGACTCGTGGTTCTACCGGCTGTATAGGAAGCGTGGCAGCAGCTGCTTGTGGGGAAGTCTCAGGGAGCTTTTACTCATGGTGGAAGGCAATGCAGGAGTATGCTTATTACATGGCAGGAGCAAGACAGCACAAGGGGGGAGGTGCTACGCACTTTTAAACAACCAGGTCTCACAGTAACTCACTCACTATCACAAGGACAGTACCAAGAGGGGATAGTGCTAAACCATTCAGGAGAGCTCCGCCCCCAGGATCCAATCACCTCCCACCAGGCCCCACCTCCAACACTGGGGATTACAATTCCACATGAGATTTGCTGGGGACACAGACCCAGACCATAACAATGGGGTCTGAAGGAGCCTTCAGACCCAGAACCATCTTCCCAGCTTGGCCGCTAACCTCAGGGGTGACCAGGAGCCAGGCCCTTAGCCCCTTTGAAAAGGCTTGGCTTCCTCTGTATACAATGAAAGCACTAAAACCTGCCCTCCGTACCTCACAAATGTTGAGAGGGTCAAGTGCTGCAAAGCAATACACAAAAATAGATTATCATTATTATTATTTACTGCTCCCTGGTTCTGCAACCTCAGCTGAATCAAAACTCCTCTCTTCACCTTTGCATAAAGAAAGACAGGACTGTCACCTCTCAGCTAAAGAGAAGAATTGCATAAATGAATGAAGCATCATTAGGGAAAATATTCTTCCCTCCACGGCACGAAGGTGCTTTGTAAACTATTCCAATTTAACACAGAGAGGAAAAAGAAATCAGCCATATTACCACTTGTCCGCCAGTTCATGCTATGCAAATAAGTCCCTTCTCGGTCAGCAGAACTGAGATAAAATTTTACTGGACAGAAAATACAATAAAAATTTAACTTCCTTATTGCGCCAACAATTAGCCTCTCAATTAGCTCTCAAATATGCACTAATGTAGGCCACTGAAAGAATATATTAAAACAATAAAATTTTTTTAAGACCCAAAACATAAAAAGAAATTAGAAATCCATTTCTGTGCAATAATATAAAAGGAATCCCTCCCCTGGCCTTACCCGGCATGCCCCTTCCACTCTCTTCCTCTCCATCCTTTCCGCTCCACTGATACTCACCCAAGGTTCAGGTGTTTGAGTTTCTGAAGGCTACTGATCTGTGTGGGCAGCTCCTCGATTTGGTTATTAAAAAAGTTGAGCACCTCCAAATTCTTCAGTTCTGCGATGTTCGGTGGCACCACTATGGAAACAAAAATGCTGAGTGTGAATCTGGGAATGGAACTCCTAGCAAGGGATGGCAGCGGCACATTTTGTTTTTCTTTCAAAGCAAAGAAAGACATAACTTCAAAAGGGCCATCGAATTCACCTACCGGTCTTATTTATTTTTTACAGGTTTTTCATAAGCAGTCACTCACTTCTGAGTGGCTGCTTAAATGCTTCTTCATATATGGTTAGCTAAGTGCTTGGCATAGTTTGTTTCAGATGGACAATGAGGGGGGAAACAGAGCAAAAATGCACAACAGAGAATTTCTGTACCATAAACAGCCTATAAAAATGAATATTAAGAAGCATATATACTTATGGTTGTCATATACGATCTTCTAAGTGCAACTTTTTTTTTCCTTTTGGTTTTCTTGCATTGCCGTCAGAAGAAGAAATGCTTCTTCGTATATGATTAGCTAAGTGCTTGGCACAGTTTGTTTCAGATGGCTAATGGGGGGGGAGAAACAGAGCAAAAATGCACAAAAGAGAATTTCTGTACCACAAACAGTCTATAAAAATGAGTATTATGAAGCATATATACTTATGGTTGTCATATATGATCTTATAGGTGCAATTTTTTTTTTCTTTTGGTTTTCTTGCATTGCCACCAGAAGAAAGATGGAGATCTCCAAATCCCTTCCGGGATGATGTACATTGAAGCTGCTTAAATAACCCAGTATCTGAAAAGCTGTCCTCTTAACATTGCATTAATAACAATATAAGCTCAATTTTAAATGATGAAATATTCACCCTCCCTAGTTTCTGATTTTGGCCTCTGGAGTAATTTAACTTGATCAGTAACACACACACACATACATACATATACACACACAAAGGTTACATCAGATTAGCAAGAGATCGATACACTGTTATTATATAGAAATACAAAAAGTCAACTCAGTAGCATGCTATGAATACTAGTATTCAGATCAAAGGTGAAAATCAGCCACTGGGGACCTGAAAGGTTCCTCCTTCCCTAGAATATATACATTTGAAAATACAAATGTAAAAGCCAAAGGCATCTTTATCTTAAAAGCACAAACTGTAAATTGGCAGCAGCAGGAGTTTCCATAGACTGTAATTCATCTATCCCACTTGCTATTCAGTCTTTCTACAAACATTTCTGTGGGTGATAAGCTTGGCCATGGTTCACGTAAACTCTGATACCAAGACTATCCAGATAACTAAGAACATGAAC
Organism: Homo sapiens; assembly: GCF_000001405.40. Taxonomy (NCBI): domain Eukaryota; kingdom Metazoa; phylum Chordata; class Mammalia; order Primates; family Hominidae; genus Homo; species Homo sapiens. The sequence goes on from NC_000010.11 coordinate 16,765,732, forward strand.
AGGGGCGTGGAACTCAGCCTGAGAAAGTGTGATGTCTCTTATCAGTCAGGTTTACTTCCCATCCCATCTGCTTCCTCCAGGGGTGCCCCAGGAGGCTGGGAGACCAACCTGCTTCCTGCAGTCAGACCTAAACTCAGACCCGGGAGCACCTGTGATTAGAACCACCACAAAGGTGTGTGTAAAATGCCAAACATACATCTAAAATATTTAAGCAGCTAGCCATTTCAAGACGACCAATTGATAACTCCCAGGGGAACAAAAGTAAAGGGACAGGCACGTTGCTTATTATAGTTTTGAGTCATCATTTTGAGCTTTCTGAAATGTCTAAGGTATCACTGGCCTTTTAGAGGTAAGGCTTGGTGAAAGGTAAAAGAGATGCTTTCACTGGAAGAAGGGACTGTGAAGAATACAGATTACTCTGAACTGGGGCACACGGGCAGGGAGCAGTGGTCTAGTGAGCGGCCCCTGCGCGAGCTCCGGAAGTGGCCGTTGATAAAAGAACAAGTTTTCATCGGGTAATCTAGACAGCTCAAAGTTCCTCCAGAACCCTCCCTCTGGGATACCTGCAGGAATGCAAATGAACCCTACCTGTACAGTGTGGCTGCAAATGTACATTCTTTCTTAGGTGCACAGTCCATGGAACACTTCTGTGTAAATGAATGGTATTCACTGTGTGTAAGGGATTACCAAGAAAATCACCAGGGCCGGGAGCGGTGGCTCACACCTGTAACCCAGCACTTTAGGAGGCCGAGGTGGGTGGACTATCTGAGGTCAGGAGTTCAAGACTAGCCTGACCAACACGGTGCAACTCTGACTCTACTAAAAATACAAAAATTAGCTGGGCATGGTGGCAGACGCCTGTAATCCCAGCTACTCGGGAAGCTGAGGCAGGAGAATCGCTTGAACCTGGGAGGCAGAGGTTGCAGTAAGCCAAGATCATGCCATTACACTCCAGCCTAGGTGACAAGAGTACAACTCTATCTCGAGAAGAGAAAAGATTGGCCTGGTGTGGTAGCTCACTCCTGTGATCCCAGCACTTTGGGAGGCTGAGGCAGGTGAATCACCTGAGGTCAGGAGTTTGAGACCAGCCTGGCCGACGTGGTGAAACCCCATCTCTACAAAAAATAAATAAATAAATAAATAATTAGCTGGGCATGGTGGCGCATGCCTGTAGTTCCAGCTACTCGGGAAGCTGAGGCAGGAGAATCGCTTCTGGGAAGCAGAGGTTGCAGTGAGCCGAGATCAAGCCATTACACTCCAGCCCGGGTGACAAGAGTGAAACTCTATGTCCAAAAAAAAAAAAAAAGAAAAGAAAATCACCAGGCTGTGCCTTCTGGGTCACTGGATGTCATCTTCTCCCCCCAGATCATAAAGTATATACATTACAGCTGCCCACAGACCTCATCCCTCCCCTGTCCACCCTCCAGCTACCACTAAGCCTTCATCTGATTAGTTTGAAGAGCACATTCATCTGATTAGTTTGAAGAGCAATAAGGAAAGTTAGTGAAACCAGGAGAAAATGATGATCTCAATTTAGCCACAAACCAAGAATAATGCAGCCAGAATTACTGCCGTCTTCCCGAAGTTACTCTGCCAGTGCAATTAAATGCTGGTCTAAAGGTATCGCCTTTTTGACAGGATGAGAGATTATTTCACTCTCCTTGCTAAATCAGTCCAATTTAAAACCACAAATTATGCTAAATGTGATTTAGGGCTTTGTTTTGTGAACGCAAACAATAACCCCATATTCAATTTACAAAACCTCTCCCAGCCTTTTGGTGAGCATGTGAATTTTTCGTTTAAGACTCCATTCAAGCTAGACGAGGAAAAAAAAATAATACACAGCTAATAGTCTCCCTCAATATACGGAATTTTTTTTTAACCCCCAGCCATAGTGAAAATCTAAAGAAATTAACATGCAGACCCTTCTGGATGGGATGGTATTCACTCTTTGAACCAATATTTAGAGAATGCTGATTAGGTGCACAGTGCCATACTTTGCACACACAGCATCTCAATACCTGGGAGATAAAATAGGAGAGGCATGTTATTTAAAGAAAGTAAGTTACAAAAGACAGGGTATCAAAGTCAATCAACTGAAACAGGCCTAGTGCTTGGAAAATAAACTACTCCCAACCAAACTCTCTGAAAAAAATAACCAGTTAGCAATATGAATTGTGCTATGACTAAATCCTATACATACGTGGCGGGAACAATTTTAGGTATTCCAAAAAGGCCACTGCAATATTTTACCAGTCAAAATATTCTACTGGAATTTTCTAGATATCTACAGGATGCATGAGCAAGAAGCATTTTAAAAGCTAACAGTGCACATCAGTATATTTCTTACATCTTTGAAACGATCCTTTTTCATCAATCTGTCCAGCTTCTGATCTATGACCCCAGCTGACCTATGACACCAAAGGAACTAAAGAGCAACGTGGTCCCTGACCCTACAGTGCTGTGTGTGCCCTCACTCAACTCATAACCTCTCTGGGCCTCTGTAAAATAAGAAGGCTGGATTATGACCATTTCCAAGGTCTCTTCCACCTCATTTTAACATTCTAGGATTCTAAAAGGAGATGGATTATGAAAATCAATGATATGGCTTTAAATAATTCAACAAATGGGGCTCTCAATTAGGAAGCTTAGTCATGTAGAACTTCGCTTCTGACAGAGAATTGAGTATCATTTTCTGCCTAGCCAAAGATGGCTGCTTTAATTTTGAGACTTCAGTTGCTAGGTTTGCGGGAACAGTCCCAGAGGACTCAGATATCCCCTGGCTCCTCAATGTCCCATTTCGCTCTAGCCACAGGATCACAGGACTGCTGGGGACGCTCTCATCCCAGAGCCTCTGCTGTTTTGGAAAGGTGACAAGGATGTGGTCACATCACCCCAGAGACAAATCTCAAAGTTTCTTCTGGACTTTGCAGCAGCAGTTCCGCCTAACACACCCGGCATGACCTTCTTTCCTTCAGGTCCTCCTAAACTGAAGAACTGAATGTGATTCAAGAGTTTTGTCCATCTGACGTGCCAGCCCAGACTTGGCAATTCAGCACTCCCATCTCCCCCAGCAGTTTCTGGAAGGTTCCACAAGCAGCCCAAAGTGCCTGAAGGGTTCATTAACTTCTCTTTGGCCAGAAGCACCTCCACTTTGCTGGACAGGCTGGAGAAACCAAAGTCCATCTGCGTGAAATACTGACACAGCCCCTTCCTGAGCAACAGCTTTACTCCTAAAAGGACATGTATCTACGGCCATCGGTAATACCTGCAACAGGCATGTGCCAGCCGGTACTGCACCACTGATGCACATTCACAAAATCAACAATCAATCAGCTCAAGAATAGGCTTCCCCCAACTGGTCAGCAGCCCACAAACTGTCTCCCCTCCATAGGAAGAATCAAAATCACCTGTTGTAACAATCGCAGTTTCAATTCTGTTGAATAGAGTAAGGAAGATTCTGTTCTATGATCTAAAATTAATAATTCCACAACCAACAACTCAAAGCATTTTAGGAGTTTATACAATAATAATTAGCAGGGTATGTTCTGGGCTGGGCTTTCTGTTGGACAGCCACTAGTTATATGCAGCTGTTTGAATTTAAATCTAGATTAATCAAAATTAAATAAAATGATGAATGCTATTGTTGGTCACAGCAGCCCCATTTCAAGAGCTTGACAGCCACATGTGGTGACCAGTGGCTCCACTACTGCATGGCAGGGATACTGACCGTTTCCATCACCGCAAAATGTTTTATTACACAGCCCTACCCGATGGCAGTGGGTCTCAAACCACAGAGACGTCAGAATCACCAGATGGCTTGCTAAAACACAGATGGAGGGGTATCCCGGAGTTTCTGATTTAGCAGGTTTAGGGTAAAGCCTGAGACTCTGAATTTCCAACAACTTCCCAGGGGATGCCGATGTTGCTGGTCTGGGAACCCTCTTTTGGCTCAGAAAACTTTTAATTCATTGGCAGCATCACGATTATCAATCCAACACATATGTCCCTTACCCCATGCGATAATGCGATGAGTATAATAATCAATCTGATCCAAATAAAGATGCCTCTTGAGCCTGGGGAACTGATGACACGTGAAACAAATGATACTCTAGGTAGCTTAACACGTTCAACGTGGATGCTACAATCAAACCCTTTCTAGTCAACTTCTGCTTCCCCATACAGCATTTTATGGTAAGATCACTGTTGCTTAAGACGGACAACTTTCCAGAGGAGAAAAGCCTTGAATTCCCTAGCACACTGAATTAAGTCACTCAGTGGCAAATTCATCATGACCAAGGGTAGTCATACAAAGAGATGTCACCTGCTCTACTGCTTGGCTTCAAAACACTGAACCCTAATGGCAGGATGCTGGGTGGTAGTGACGGTACAGACAGATCGGCTTGGGTGCAGCTGATTTGGGGGCTTTTTGAGCAAAAGCATCTTGGGGCCCTTGAGGCAAAAAAAAATCAAAGCCGTAAGGAGCGACAGACTCTGGGAGCAGCAGGCACCACGCAAAAAACATAAGGACAGGAGCTCTGCCTGGGTGCAGCCCACGGGAGGGTCAGGGGGTCACACTTTGGTCTTTAGAGCCATATGGTTACCACCGACAGCCAGGTCCTCTTCAGCTCCAGAAGGGCAGCACTAGACCCTGCACCATGCTAACACACACCCACGGCTGCCAGGAAGCCAGAAGCTGCTCCAAACACATGGCGCTTTCCCTCCGCAGCACAGGCATGAAATCTGGAGGTGACCTCCACCCACCATCTCCACCAAACTTCTGGGGAGTTGGGGGCTGCACTACACCCAACTGTTTTTGCAGAAGCACCAAAGGATGTTTTCAGAGCTGGTGATTCCTGAGCTAGGGCTGGCCCAGGGCATGAAAGCCAGGGGACCCAGCCTCTTTGAAACAAGTGAACTGATAGCTCAACCTCTGCCTCCAGTGATGGATTGTGAATTACAGCAAGGGGATGAAGAGGAGGACTTAAGGCAGGTACTTCGTGGGAGGCAACTGCTCACAGCCAGGGCCAGGACAGCAGGTGGCATCGCGGCATGTCCGCCCTTGTGCTGCAATGGAGGCAACGCTACTGTCTCGTGCCCATTTCCAGGAAGCAAAAGTGCCACCAATCCTTGGGCCAAAGAGTCCCCAAAGAAACTACATAGAATGAGTCACAGCAAAATGAAACTGAGTAGTATTGCTTCTAAAAACCTGACATATTGCTATTTAAAAAAAAAAAAAAAAAAAAAAAGGAAGTTTTTGTCTGTTGTCATAACAAATGAAAATGCCTGGGCAGATGTTCACAATGTCATATATTTCTGCAGCTTTTTTTATAAAGCATAGAAGGACAGAGGATGGCAGAGGATATTAAAATTAGCTTGTTATTTAGATAACTTAGTATGTTACATTACTACAACCAAGTCACTAGAAAAATTACTAAAAACATGAGAATAGGTGAAAATGAGTGAGGCTCTTCATTATATATACGGGAGGGGAGGGATGGACCATTTATGAGAAAATGGTGAAAGCAAACATTTCCTTGCCCCAGCATTTGATGAATATGATAGTGAAAAACAAGTGTCCCCCTTTGGCCTGAATGAAGTAAGGGAGGAAAAAATCAAATTAGCAGAAACTAGATGAAATATGACATGGGGCATCCATGGTCAAAGTAAAAGCACAGCCTTTTTAATCTCTAGCTGTAATAACTGGAGAACATGAGTCCATTCATAGCACAGAGGTGGTGTCTAGACTAATTACATACATGCCGATTCTTTCAGCAAATCATAGTTCTCAATGTCATTTTAATGATTATACATAAAGAAGAATCTTCTCACTCTCGCGTAGGAATAATTACATTCTTCAGCACTTTATATGCCAAAAAAAAAGGTCATTTGTAGTTATAGTGATTAATTACCTTTGTTTTCTGGCCAAAAACACAAGGTGGACAATAATGAACTAATTACATATTACCACAAGACTCTGATGTTCAAAAGTATACTAATGATAACTGTCTTCACAGATTTTATGGGATTTACCCCAAAGCAGCTATTAAAGCAGTGAATTACGGTAGTTCCAGGTTATTTAAAAACATAAAGTTTATGAAACAGTAAAGCAAATTCTCATTTAAAAGGTTCTACATGTTCCTCAAGGTAAACATAAAATAGCAAAGTATCTAAGCATCTACGCCAAGAAAGGCCAACATCCTCCAATTATTAGCTTTATAAATAACAATGGTAATGTACTTTTGGTTAATAAACAACAAGTATTACTGGGGACCTGTGCCCCAAAAGCACACGCTCACTCTATGCTATCATGAGCTGCCTCAGGATTCTATAGCCTAAGTCATTTTAGTAAACAAAAATATCCCCTGGCTTAACTCACCGCAAAACAATGGCCCTACTCTTTCACCAGCAATGTGAAAAATCAATTACGTGAAAATTAGAGGAAAAAAGGCATAAGCAAGTGATAAGGTCGATTTTAGAGGATAAAGCCAAACATGCAAAAATGTATGTTCCTGAGCTATAAAAAGTATGTATGCATAACCAAACAAATTTCCTAAAAAGCTGACAAGTATGGATTTCTTCTCCTCTGAGGATATAAAAATTAGTTAATGCCTGAATCTTGTGTTAACTCCCAAAGCATCTTCAGGAGGACGTATGAACTCTGAAATCTTGCAGGAACACCACTTCTAAATTGCACTACAATTCTGATGTGCGACCCCTCCAGCAAAGCCATACATCAATAAAGAGCTTTAATTGGGGAGCTGGGAGGGAGAGGCAGCACTGAGAGGAAAGGAAATGGCATTCAGTGGCCTGGGGAGGAAGTGACATCCAGCGAAGGGTAAGAAAAGGAAGGGTAGGAAAAATGCCTAGAAAATTCCAAAACACTGGAAAGAGAGAGGAGTAGAATATGAAAAAAAAAAAAAAAAAAAACAAGAAAAAAAAACTTCAATCCATCAATGGAAAAAAGCAGTCTCAGTGTTATAAAAGGACTGATCTAGGCTCTTTTATATGAGTACATGCCTTTACTATGTATAATATATATGGATGTATATCTACACATAAGCCTCGATTATTAACATTACAAGGTAGATAGTCAGCAAGTCACATTCTATCTTGCACTCTTTTACATGCACACAGAAAAAGCACGTTTTGTCATTAGTTTCTGTCTTCTTTCACAATTAAGAATTAATCTAGGCTGGGAGCAGTGGCTCACACCTGTAATCCCAGCACTTTGAGAGGCCGAGGTGGGTGGATTGCTGGAGCCCAGGAGTTTCAGACCAGCCTGGGCAACAGGGCGAAACCCCACCTCTACAAAAAAATTAGCTTTGCATGGTGGTGCATGCCTGCAGTCCTAGCTACTCCGGAGGCTGAGGTGGGAAGATCACTTGAGCCTGGAGGTTAAGGCTGCAGTGAGCTGAGATTGCATCACTGCACTCCAACCTGGGCAACAACTTGAGACCCTGTCTCAAAAAAAAAGAAAAAAAAAAAGAAAAGGAATTAATCCATCAAATCCATCAAGAGGCCACAAGTGGACTGCTTCTCTTCCTACCAGACCTTATGTTTAGGGTCACTGCATGAGGAGGGCAGGAAGGGGAGGAAAAGGAAGAGGCCCAGGGCTAGGAAAATCCACCAAATCCACATGGGAGCTTTGATCATTCCCTTCGAAATAACCCAACTATGGCTTTTAACCTTAGGAATTCTCCCGTTCTTCGACTGGAAGGAGTAAGGATCCAGAGCCACAGGAACGCTTCGTCCATGGAGCTCCTACACTGACCTAACGGGACGTCAAGTGCACACACAGATCACTTGCAGAGGCAGCAGGGGACACGGCGGAGCAGCCACTTGGAAGCTGTACAGAAAGCTCTGTCGCCTCCTCATTCTGGTCACTTAATCACTTTACACCTGCCTCCTCCACGTAATACAGAGTGGGGGTTCAACAAATTCACTCTTTTCTCTTTCACTTCCTGCTGAAGTTATTATATAGGTGTTGTTCTTGATGGTCCCACAGGCTGTGGGGTGCCTTGTATTTCTTTCCACACAGTGCTGGTTCAGTTGGATGAAAAGGAGGGCTTCACAGAGAAAGATGAGCATTCATCTCAACTTTCTGAAGGATAAGCCAAATTCAGAGAAAGGGGTAGGAACATCAGTTTTTTTAAAAAAATCAGGTGACTAGAACAAAGAATAGATAGGCAGGGGAAAAAAGCTAAAGAACCAGCAAAAAATTAGACAAAAGAGGGTTCAGACTGAAAACAGCAAAACGCAAGGTCAATGAGTTTGTTACTGGTTATCAATTGTATCTGAGTGGTTTTGGTCTATGAGGCTGACTGATGAACAGAAAGAAAAATGGAAATGGGAAAGGTATTCCGTTAAAAAAAAAAAAAACTGCATATGCCCATATGCCCACACACGTTCTGTTCAACCCTGGGAGCTACAGGATTGCAAATTCTTATTTAACAAAATGTAAATTTAAGCAGATTAATAAGATGGCACTTATCAATATTTTTTAAAAAGTCATCAAGAATGAGTTCTGTGATGCATTAAAAATCATCTAAAGTTTTATACAAATCTCCAAGGAGCATCTCCTTTAAGAAATAGCATCACTAGGCCGAGGCAAGCAGATTGCTTGAGGCCAGGAGTTCAAGACCAGCCTGGCCAACATGGTGAAACCCGTCTCTACTAAAAACAAAAACTAGCTGGGCATGGCAGTGCACACCTGTAGTCCCAGCTACTAGGGAGGCTGAGGCAGAAGAATCGCTTGAACTCGGGAGATGGAGGTTGCAGTGAGCCGAAATCACGCCACCGCATTCCAACCTGGGTGACAGAGTGAGATCCTGTCTCAAACAAACAAACAAAAAAATAGCATCCCTATGTCCACACTGCATGCAAACATACTAGTGTTATCTTCATCCGATTCTGGAGTTTCTAAATCTGAGCTGCATGGACCTCTAAAGAATTCATGGATGAACACAATGGGATCCACAAGCCTCTGCTGGAATTACAACCATCACGTGCACTTCTCTACAGATCAGGGTTGTAGTTTTCACTCTATTATTTAAAAAGATCAGTGACTTAAGAAAAGTTAAGAAGGCTGGGCACAGGGGCTCACAGTGGCCTGTATTTCTGGTACTTTTGGAGGCCAAGGCAGGAGGACCACTTGAGCCCAGGAGTTTGAGTCCAGCCTGGGCAAATTAGCCAGGCGTGGTGGTGCACATCTATCTAGGAGGCTTGCTTGAGCCCAGGAGTTTCAGGTTACAGTGAGCTAGGATTGTGCCACTGTACTCCAACCTGGGTGATAAAAACACTATCTCTAAAAAATAAAAACATAAAAAAAGAGAAGAGATGCTCTACAAGAATGTATGTACCTAAGTATTGCACCTCTTAGTGTATCTCCTCTATCATTCTGCACACATACTCACATGTACACACACATCAAGTGATATAGGAGAGAGGGCATCAACTGAAAATGTACGTATAATATTTTGCTATTAAATCAATTCTGTTTGATAGACATTCTATCATCAATAGCAATAGAAACCTTTTTCAGGATCAGCCCCGCACATGGGCTAATTATGAGTTGGAAAGTGACAGGCTTACACTCCCCCGTCTTATTTTCTCCACAGCCTGCCACCGTTCTGAAGTTCTCACGATTGGGGTGGTTCCATTTAAAAATATATTGTGGAGGAATTAGCACGTTAGCTGGCTTCCGCTTAGCACAAAACAGGACCTCTAGAAAAAGGATTCTAGAACAGGTACATTTTGGTTGGTGGGGCTGACAACAAAAGGAATGGGGGTGGGGGGTGGCCACAGTCTACAAGCTGAGGACAGATTAGATGCCACCGGCAGGACACGTCTTCGACTTCATTCGCTGGCCTTGGCTGCACTGGTTCTGGGTTCCTGGGTCAACAGACCCTCCCATAGCATGATCTCAGGTGCTCACTCACTACAGCCAAAAAATCGCAACACATGCCCAACTGCCAGTGCTTTTTTATGGTAACCTGACTACCGGTACCATCAGATAGATATTGTTTAATTAATAGCTGTTAGACTCAAAGATACTATGCATATTTTTTTAACTCTCATCTTTTAATGATGGCAGAGAAGCAAACTGATAAATGTGCAGTAATTTAAAAAAATAAGTTATTGATCAAAGCCTCTGTATTATAAACACATTTACACTCTGTTAAAATGCGAACAGCAAGTTGTTTTGATATTGTCACAAGATAAATTCATGACACAGAGACCATTTATTTTACATATTCCCCCCTCATGGTTTAATTTCATACAAGCCATGCACAAGAACTTTTGCATAAAGCATGACAAATAATCTATGAAGGAGGGAATAACTACAGACTTAAGAACAGCAAGGTCTGAGAAGAGTGGTGAAGGTCGTCCTCAGGAATTCAGACAGTTAATTCTTCTCAATCATCCCAGCAATCTATTATGTCTGCATAAAAAGGTTTCAATGTATTATGCTTTTTAAAAACTGCTAAATTTTCTTCATTATAATTGGATCTACAAATTTTAAGAATGCAGTATTTTCATGTGAAATATGCTGCTTAATTTGTTTATAATATGACTTATGGTAGATAATCAATGTATACATCTGCATAAAATTTAAAAGTATTAAATTCTATGTACTTAGAATATTATCTTTGATAAATAAATTATTGAAACCACCAAAGAAGGTATCTTAGTATTTCTTGTTTGTTATAATTCTAAATTCATACATAAGCTGTAACTAATAGGAAATAGTGTATATTAAAAAAAAAAAACCCACATTTTGCCATAAAACTTAGGTTTACTACCTGCCTGGCCATTTCCGATGCATTAAATGATGAGATATGGTCACAGTGAAGACCTGAAATTGTAGGCAAAACTGCCAATACCTCAGGAAAAGGTTTTACATGGCAGTTAAAAGTATAAAACTAAACAATTACATTCAGAGACCCACACTTTTGAAAAGTTTTACATAAATGTCGGCTCCTCAATGTTTGCACAGAGCAAAAAGATATCCTTGGTTATTTCTTGCACAAAATGACGAATGTCTAATCCTCAACACACATGGGTCACAAAATTTAAAAAAAAAAAAAAAAACTACTGCCGTATTTAAGCCCATCATTCCTTGGCTCTATGATTGTAAAGATGAGATGGCCATCATTTACTGGACATAAGGTCATATTTTTATTTTTTTTTAATTTTTTTTTTGAGATAGGGTCTTGCCCTGTCACCCAGGCTGGAGTGCAGTAGTAGCTTGCAATGTTTACGTGTGGGTTTTGCTGTTGGAATAAAATTTTTTTAAAACTTAAGGAAAACTTCACTTAAAAACGTAATGCCCAGAGCTTGTTTTATCACTGCTACAGAATGCAATTCATTTCCTGTTGTACATTCATTTCATATTCTCCCCAACACAATGGAATTGAGCAGTATACGAATCAGCATAAATATGCACAAAATACACATTTTCCTGATTTTTACAGTTATTTTTGAATTAAAATCTGGTTACATAAATACTTCAAACTTTCTTCCACAGATTAAAAAAAAAAACTCAAATATGCCCAATACAAAATACTATGGAAAGCAGTATAATTCTTTCAACGTAAGGATATTGGAGGAAGAGAAATGTTTCTAATTTGAGAAAGTAGCCATAATAAACACTAAAAAATGATACGTGAAACTGAATATTTTCATGGTAGGAGAACAAAAAACACAGCATACCTCCTTCTATAAGGATTTACCTTAAATGTGGTAAAAACTGCACTGTGTAAGCAGCAATAGCAACATGCCCTGTGGTGCAGGGCCGGAGAGCCTGCACAAAATTTATTCTCACAACAAAGGTGGTTTCTAATCTTTAGGTACAAAACCTGGAGGAGACATATGTGTCTCAACAGTGACCTCTAGTGGACAAGTCTTAAAATGGTTGTCCCCAAAAGAAACTCCTTTTTAAAAACAAAAAACAAGTAGGAAAGCATTTACAAAGCTCACACTTCCAAAACACCATAAAACCTAGGGATTGGATTAAGGAGCAGACTAAAAAAGACTCAGCTGACAGTGGCTTGAAAGGGAGGGTAACCACAGAGGCCAGGGGCAGGAAGGAAAAGCAAAGAAACACAGGAAGATGACCTTCGGCATTATTGCTGCCTTCCCACGCATCTGAGCGGTCATGAAAACAGTTTCCCTGGCTGCGAGTCCTTTGTGTGCCTGAGTAACACATCACAGCCCATCATTCCTTGGCTCTATGATTGTAAAGATGAGATGGCCATCATTTATTGGACATAAGGTCATATACCTTTTTTTTTTTTTTTTTTTTGAGATAGGGTCTTGCCCTGTCACCCAGGCTGGAGTGCAGTAGTACAATCACAGCTCACTGCAGCCTCAAACTCCTGGGTTGAAGTGATCCTCACACTACAGCCTCCACAGTAGCTGAGATGCCTGGCTCATGTTTTTTTTAAGAGATGGGGTCTTGCTATGTTGCCCAGGCTGAAGGTCATGTATCTTTAGAGCATCACGCTCTACCATGTTTGAAATGAGCACACAACGAGTAAGAAACAGAAGTCTGTGGCAGCCACATCTACTCAAGTCCCTATACCAGTTAATCCCAAAGAAACCATCTGATCCCAATGTTCCCCACTTTCTCTCCAGCCAGCAGTTTCCTCTCTGCCCTTCCCTGTCATTCACATACCTCCTGGGAGCAATGAACACTCGGTTTATACAGGTAATTACTGCGAAGCCACTAAGGGCCCAGTCACAGGCATTCAGGAAGAATATGAAATGATCCATGCTTCCACAAAAGCTGACCATCTATTTGGAGAGAGAAAAAAAACACAAAGGAAGAGAAGGACAGGGAATGCCATGCTAGAGTTAAAGAGTCTACATGCAAGAGAGTTTGGGGAGGAAAGGCTTCAGATGGGCCAGACCAGCCAGGGGGCCCCCAGGGGAGGATGGGGAGAGGCTGGTAGAGAGGAGGAGGGAGGAGGAGAGGCAGGCAAGAGTAGATCCTGGGCCCAGAGGCAGGGCTACGGGGGGACAGAAGATGATCCATCTTCCTAGAGCAGCAAATGGAGAGGAGAGGCTGGCATGGGATGTGGGGCAGATTAGGGCAGTTTCTGAAAGGCAGAGAGGGGCAGTGAGTGCATGAGAGTAAGCCAGCCTTCTGCCAGGTGCGTACTGCATCACAGGCAGGTGCTCAAAGAAAGCATTATTTCCGAAAGGATCTTCAATCTGAAACTCTTCCCATTGGGCCAGGATGGCTTTGCATTCTGACTTTGCCAATGACTTTGTTGCATTCAAAGTTAGTACCTGCCCATTCATAGCAAAAAGGCAGAAGAAAAAAATTCACTTGCAACTATTCTTCCCGTCTCCTTAAACACATCATGCATATATACATATCTAGGAAAGTTGCTACAGACAGATTAAGTCCCCCGCTGACTTCAAAAACCCATCAACGCTGCCCCAAGCTCCCAGGTTTAAATTCAAATAGGGGCACCATAATAGTCTTGGAGCATTAACAGCAATTAGCTTGACAATACATTAATATTTTTATGAACTGCAGTATTTAAAAGTTCAGGAATTTCTGCTCCCAGATTCTTGAGGAATTTCAGAATCACAGATCCCACTTTCAGCTTCCTTGTCGCCTCACTTTTACTGCCCTGGGTAGACATGTCAAGGCCAAAACCACTGGCAAGAAAAGGCAAGTCAACCACGTGCCACACTGTTTCAATAACCCTGTAGATCTTAAGTCAGTGGAGTCAACAGTGTCCCCAAATCAATGTCCCAGTTTGAGTAAACCATTCATTCCTTCCATGAGTACATAAGTGGAAATGTCAGAGAACGGTGTAATTGGCATACTAAGAGAAAAACATGAATACTTTTGCAAGATAAAAGCAGTGCCGGGTGAGGGGGTGGGGGAGTTATCTTTTGAGTCCCTGTGGTTTTAATGTGGCGTTGTCAGCTGGTCCCTATTAAAAACAACAGAAAGTGAAAGACACTGATTACCATAAAAAGTGACAGCAGGGTGTGCCTAGCCACTTACACTTAATGCATATTTATATTTCCATCAAATGGACATATTTACTATAAACACTTGAAAAACCATAGCAAAGTCATTCATTTAAATGCCAGAAAAATAGTAAAGGATGCTAATTTGACCTTACTGAAACAGATCGGGTGTCAGTGACGCTACTCAGGATGGCTTGAAACAGAATTTACCAAGACTATTAATTAGAGTTTACTGGATTAGGTCAAGAGTGTCTCAAATGGAGTGAAGAAAAGGAAAAAAAAACTGGCAAGGCAGAAATATAAAGTTTGGATTCTTTCACAGTCAGTCTCCTGAATGGCCAACACAATGTAACTCCACATATAAATATGCTCCTCTAAATTAACCTAATATTATAATGCCTGGAGGAAGAAACTGATCCATTGACTCCTGAGATTTCTATCTTTGTGAAGATGTAAAAAGAAATAAACTACAGTGATCTGAAAGATGTTTTTAAAGAAGAGATCAATGAATGATATAATAGAAATAAAGGTTTTGCTTTCTTCCTGTTGGAGACAGGGTCTACCTCTGTCGTCCAGGCTGCAGAGCAGGGTCGTCATCATGGCTCACTGCAACCTCGACCTACTGGGCTCAGCCTCTTCAGTAGCTGGGACCACAGGTGCTGGACCCACTATGTCCGGTTAATTTTTTGATTTTTGGTAGAGATGGGGGCCTCAGTATGCTGCCTTGGCTGGTCTCAAACTCCTAGGCTCAAGCAATCCTCCTACCTCAGCCTTCCTAAGTGCTGGGATTACAGGCATCGGTCACTGATCCTGGCCAGTTTTGCTTTCTTGTGTAAACTGGTTTGCACAAGATAAGCAAAACAAGGTATCATTGTTGTAACAATGGTAAGCTTAGCAATTAAGAAATACTTTACTAAACTACACAACAGAACATGTCAGTTATTACTGCTCACAAATCTTGGGGGATTTAGGAATCACGTGGTCCACGCTTCAAAACAGACCATGAATCCCTTCTGAACTGAGAATCTGGTCTCTGTGGACCACGGGACCATTTCCCAGAAAAACAATGGAACCGGCAATAAATTACCTGTTACAACAATGACCACACATGACTTGTAGGTCTCACTTTTGGCTTCTGTGGCCACCACTACTTAAGTGTGACAACTGTGCCGTCACTCTGCCTTTGCCTTACAAATATACGCTTTGGCTAACAACGACTAATCCACTTGTTTCTTGCACATGAGGGGACCCTGCTGCCACTCTTAATTCTCAATAATCAACAGCTCTGTGACATCGCTTCAAGCTGTATATAATGCACATACACACATAAATTCATGACACAAATCCCTCAACATGACATTCTGCTCAATTTCACTGGACTCGGAAAGCTCCTTCACAAATTCTTGCCACATGATTAGAAAATCATTCAAGTCTGCAAGAAAAATGGCAAGCAAAAAGAACTGAGTCATTAGGAATGGGAAAGGAGCGTGGGTCCCTGTCATTAAAATCTTTAAAGCCACAGCTCTACGAAGAAAACGGCCCATCATGCACACAAGATAGTCATATAAAAATAGGCATTCATCTATGCTAAGCAGATACGTCTACTGTGGGGCTCTATGGATACCCAGCAGAATTTTTCTTTTGGGGAAGCCAGACTCAAAAATTTGAAAAATGCAGATGTAAAGGTATATCATGTATACAATTTTGCATCTTTTCCTCCATCAAGCAGGGACAGAAAGTGTATTAAACAGTTAAAACTTTCCCTTTCGAGGAGGAAATATAAATGAAAACAAAGAACTTGTTCTAACAATTTCAAGTTTTCAATGCTTTCAAGTAAGTTTTGCTCATGAAATGCTCACCAATGGTCTGGCAATTCAGGTCAGCATAGCATTTACTATCTCTGAATGGAACCACTTCCAGAGCAACAATGTCATTTTTTTTCTCTTTGGTTTATAAACATGATAAGAAAGAATCTTCAGGCCAGGCGCCACGGTTCATGCCTGTAATCCCAGCCCTTTGGGAGGCCAAGGCAGGACGATCGCTTGAGCCCAGGAGTTCAAGACCAACCTGGGTAACACGGCAAGACCTTGTCTCAAAAAAAAGAAAAGAATCTTCAAAGTAGAGCTAACTACAAAAGGACAAAATACAGGATGACAATATTCTCATCTTAGTGTCACCAAAGTAAACTAAGGTTTCTGCAAATAATCATTCTTCATTAGTTTCTCCCAAGGAAACAGTAACAGACTCAGCAGTGCCATAGGATTACCTAAATGTCAGAAACTGTAACAAATGAGAAACATCACTTACTTGTTAGCTTGTTATGGCTGAGGACCAGTTGTGTGATATGGGATAAGGTAACTAAAAAGAAAAGAAAAAAAAAAAGGTCAGTCAGTAAATGTATCACTGTATCCGGATTCTACCTGTACTCCTACAAAGCAAACGGCAAAGTTATTTTCACAGGTTGAAGCACTATCGCTCACCAAAATAGAAGCTAGGATTCATGTAACACGATCTATTCAATGTTAAACCAAAGGAAGAAAAGGCATGCAACTAACGGTGCAATTAGCTCAGCAAGTTAGAGCTAATCAGATTAATGTCACAGAATCCAACATGACGAGGGCCAGTTAGCTCTGCGTGGCGCCCCGACCTGCTTGCCCAGCCATTAGTGATCCATTTCAATTATCTGTGCCAGTCAGAAAGACCAGCCAAGGGGGCAGAGGTGCACAGGGGCCTTACCTTGTGCTAAAAAATTTTAATTATTATTATTTTTGAAGCCACTTCATCCAAACAGAAACTTTATCTAGCAGAAGGCCGCCAGTGTTATTGCTTCAGCTATGTTCCGTGCCCATCCAGAAATTCTCCTCCATGGTATCAGATGATCAGAGTTGAAACCCTTCACAATTTCTTCTAAACATATTTTGGTTGACATTTCAAAGCACTGATTTGAAATGCAGATTGCTCTCTGGCTTCAAACATTATCATGGTGGTTTAATCTGCTCAGTAAGATTAGGTTTGCTTAAAGAATGGTTTTTCTAACTATAAATAAAGAAAATATATACAGAGCCACAAAAGTAAAAGAGAGAAATGATCTCCCCTCTACTCTGGGGTCTAAAACTTTACTGTATGTGTCAGCATTTACACACATATGCATATACACGTGTGTGTGTGTATGTGTAAATTTTTCCTATTTTTTTTTTTTTTTGAGACAGGGTCTCAATCTGTTGCCCAGGTTGGAGTACAGTGGCACAATGTCAGCTCACTGTAACCTCCGCCTCCCAGGTTCAAATGATTCTCCTGCCTCAGCCTCCCGTGTAGCTGAGATCACAGGTGCATGCCACCATGCCCGGCTAATTTTGTATTTTTTGTAGAGATGTGGTTCTCGTTATTTTGCCCAGGGTGGTCTCAAACTCCTGGGCTCAAGTAATTCTCCCACCTTAGCCTCCCAAAGTGCTGGGATTACAGGCATCAGCCACTGTGTCCAGCCTCCAATATTATTTCTTTAAGAACATTCTGTTAATGCAGTAGAGGTTTTTCCTTAAACGGATAAGATAAAAATTTTTCTCAGGAAGGGTCTCGATGTTGGGGCTCAGCACGCTTTGAAGAAAATATGCATCACTTCTACTGACCACAACTTTTGCTTTTTTTTTTGAGACTGAGTCTCACTCTGTCACCAGTTTGGAATACAGCCACGCAATCTCAGCTCACTGCAATTTCCGCCTCCCAAGTTCAAGCGATTCTCCTGCCTCAGCCTCCACAGTAGCTAGGACTACAGGTGCGTGCCACCACGCCCAGCTAATTTGTGTATTTTTAGTACAGATGGGGTTTCACCATGTTAGCCAGGATGGTATCCATCTCTTGACTTCATGATCCTCCCACCTTGGCCTCCCAAAGTGCTAGGATTACAGGCGTGGGCCACCGAGTCCGGCCGCATGTTTTTTTTTTTGTTTTGTTTTTTGTTTTTTCAAACCATTGCAAACTTATAGAGAAGTTCAAAATGCAATACAAAAACCTGTTTTCCCAGCTTGAACCACTGAGATTAAGCTGCTGGCCTGATGCCCCATAAAGTCTATGGTATATCTCCTACAAGCAAAAATGGACATAACCACAATACAACCATTAAAACAGTTAACCCAGTACATGAGGACCATCTAATCCTAGCCCCCATTCAAGTTTCTCCAAATGTCCCAATCATTTATTTTAGGGAAGAAATAGGATCTGGTTGAGAATTCACGCTGCAGGTAGCTGTCAGGTCTTTGTCGTCTCCTCTAAGCTGAGAATTTCTCTTTCCTTGACTTTCGTGACCTTGGCAATTGTGAAGATTGCAGGGGCAATTGTTTTGTATTATGTCCCTCTATGTACAATTTTTTTTTTTTTTAACATGACCTTGCTCTGTTGCCCAGGCTGGGGTGCAGTAGTGCAATTACAGCTCATTGCAGCCTCAGCATCCCAGGCTCAAGCAATCCCCCCACCTCAGACTCCCAAGCAACTGAGACCACAGGCTCACAGCACCATTCTTGCTTGATTTAAATGTTTTTTTGTTTTATTTTGTTTTGTTTTTAGAAATGGGTTCTCATTCTGTTGCCCAGGCTGGAGATTTGTCATTTGTTGATTCTTGATTCATTCATCGGTATTAGTCCATTCTGGCATTGCTATAAAGAAACACCTGAGACTGAGTAATTTATAAGAAAAGAAGTTTATATGGCTTATGGTTCTGCAGGCTGTACAGGAAGCACAGAAGCATCTGATTCTGGGGAGACCTCAGGGAACTTATGGTGGAAGGCAAAGCTGGAGCAGGCATCTTCACATGGGGTATTAGCCTGTTCTCACGCTGCTAGTAAAGACATACCCGAAACTGAGACTGCATAATTTATAAAGGAAAGAGGTTTAATGGACTCACAGTTCCATATGGCTGGGAAGCCTCACAATCATGGCAGAAGGCAAAGAGGAAGCAAAGGCACATCTTACATGGCAGCAAGTAAGAGAGCGTATGCAGGGGAACTCCCCTTCATAAAACCATTCGATCTCGTGAGACTTATTCACTATAACAAGAACAGCATGGGAAAGCCCCACCCCCATGATACAGTTACCTACCAGGTCCGTCCCACGACATGTAGGAATTATGGGAGCTATAATTCAAGATGAGATTTGGATGGGGACACAGCCAAACCATATCACATGGCCAGGGCAGGAGGAAGTGGGGCTTTGGGAGGAGGTACCACACACTCTTAAACAACTAGATCTCATGAGAACTCTATCACTATACAGTACAAAGGTGGTGTGATGGTTAATACTGAGTGTCAACTTGATTGGATTGAAAGATGCTAAGTATTGATCCTAGGTGTTCCTGTGAGGGTGTTGCCAAAGGAGATTAACATTTGAGTCAGTGGGCTGGGAAAGGCAGACCCACCCTTAATTTTGGGTGGGCACCATCTAATCAGCTGCCAGCATGGCCAGGATATAAAGCAGGTAGAAAAAGGCTAAACTGGCTTAGTCTCCCAGCCTACATCTTTCTCCTGTGCTGGATGCTCGCTGCCCTCGAATGTTGGACTCCAAGTTCTTCACCTTTGGAACTTGGACTGGCTTTCATTGCTCCTCAGCTTGCAGATGGCCTATTGCAGGACCTTGTGGTAGTGTGAGTTAATACTACTTAATAAACTCATTCACTCTCTCTCTATCTTTCTATATATATATACATATATACATATATATATATACACATATATACATATATACATATATATATACACATATATACATATATACATATATATATACACATATATACATATATATATATATAATATTAGTTCTTTCCCTCTAGAGAACCCTAATACAGGAGGGATGGTGCTAACCCATTTATGAGAACTTTGCCCCCGTGATCCAGTCACCTCCCACCAGGCCCCACCTCCAACACTGGGGATTACAATTCCACATGACGTTTGGTGGGGACACGGATCCAAACCATATCAGCATCTTTGGCAGGGATATCGCAGAAACACTGTGCTCTTGTCATGGCACCCTACCTAGGACACACGACTTCCATTTATCCCATTGATAAGGATCTTCACTTTGATCGCGTAAGTCTGCCTGGCCTCTCCATTGTCAATGTCTTGTTTTCCCCTCTTGTAATTAGTAAATTTGGGAAAAGGAGGACGGGTACTTTGACACAATGTCAATATCCTGTTCCTCACCAAACTCTAAACTTATTGTGTCTTTTGGTCCCCGATCAAGGCAACTTCCCCACCCCCCACAATTGGGATATCTGACAATGTCTGGAGACATTTTGGATTGTAACAACTGTGGCCACTAGAAAATCTAAAATTTCGTTGGTGACTGGCATTCTCTGTCTGCTGGATGGCACTAGTGTAAAGCACTGGTGTAGTGGGTGGAAGCCAGGGATGCTGACACACATCCTACATCACGCAAGGCAGCCGAACCCATGACAAAGAATCGTCCACTCCAAAAGGTCAAGAGCATTGGTGCTGGGAGATCATGGTTTATTTAGTTATACTTGCATGGCTTTGCAGCTTGCTATTTTAGCTGACGGGTTATAATCTATCATTATTATTTACAGTGATGGTTAAATTGCCCCTGATTTGGCCAGTATGAGTCCATCCAAGCTGGCTTATTAGTCCTTTCGACACACGCCCTCATTCTTGCAGCACTTTCTTGCCTTCTGACACAAGATATTCAGGTTCATCTTGTATTTTTTCTGCCACAGTCCTGGAATCAGCCATTTATCCCATGATCTCTGGTTCCTTTTTGTGGGAAATAATATTTATAAGCCAAAATTCAGGCACTAGATGTGCTCATTACTTTGGGGTGGGGGGGAGTCAGGTACCCTCGGCCCCTCTCAGTGGTCAGAGCTAGGGAATAACACACTCCTAACACCTGTACTGATTTCACTGTCTACTTCTATTTTTAAACACCCTACGTTCACCCCAATCTACCCAATTCCAATACATCTCAGGGCTCATTCTAGTTTTCTCCCTTCCCGTATTTGTAATTCTCTCCTCTAACGACGAGAACTCCGCTTCGTTGGCCTTTAAACCGTTTACTTATTTAATAAATGCCCCTATATAGAGCTACATAAAATGGTTATCTTACAGTGAAACCGGGACAGCTCTGTGCTCATCTGCAAGGACACCTGGAAGTTTGGTACTGATTCTTAATCAAGATAAGGAGGAGTGGGCCAGCTTAAAGTTAAAAACGCCCCTGGTGGTCCCCAGAGCCAGCTTGCTTGAACATTCAGGGAGGTGCGGATCGGATCGATGCCTTACACCTGGACACAGGGCCTGGGTTGGCTTGGTGACTGGCCAAGCACAGAAGACAGTGCTTGATGTTTCTGCCCAGGCTCTCCTGACACCAAGATTCCTTGGACACGTGTTGATGGTTCATAATCTGGAGACAAAATGTGCCCTTTGGAGCCACAACAGTGAGTCTCTTGGGTCACTGATGCTGGCTTGTGCTTTCTTCCTACAGCTGAACCACCTCCTGTGCTTTTATTAAGTCTTCACGTGAGCAGGTGCTGTGGAATCTTGCGAGCCCTTTCAATTATCCAACACGTGTTCCACTATGTAGAGCAACCAATCTCCCCATCACCCCTTCCTCCTCACTCTGCCCTGATACTAAACTCCATGCCAGGCCACCTCCACCAGGACGCCCTCCTCACTCTGCCTGGGCCCCGACTTGCCCAACCCGCACGGCTGCTCCCTTCACCAAGGCGCCAATGCTCCCCCGCAGGCCACCCCTGAACGCCTCTGTTTTCCTGTCCCACTGATATGGTTAGGCTGCGTCCTCGCCCAAATCTCACCTTGAATTTTAATAATCCCCACATGTCAAGGGCGGGGCCAGATGGAGATAACTGAATCATGGGGAGTGGTTTCCCCATACTGTTCGTGTGACAGTAAATAAGTCTCACAGGATGTGATGGTTATATAAATGGGAGTTCCCCTGCACACGCTCTCTTACCTGCCCCCATGTAAGATGTCCCTTTGCTCTTCCTTCATCTCCTGCCATCACTGTGAGGCCTCTCCAGCCATGTGGAAATGTGAGTCCATTAAACCTCTCTCTTTATAAATTACACAGTCTTGGTATGTCTTTATTAGCAGTGTGAAAACAAACTAATACACCCAGTTAATGGCTTTAGGACTGAATTGTTACAGAATGGCACAGAAAGAGGCTAAGGGGAAGAAGAAAAGCATTTTTGTGGCTTTTAAACAGAATCCTGATAGTGGTTTCCCACATCATGGTTAAGATTTTATACGCTGCAGAAATCTCACACATTTTTATTTCTTTGAGTTCAGATTTTTCTGTCCACCAGACAAAGCATTGCTCTATCCCTGAGATGTATAGTCTGACATGAAAAAAATCTCCCCAGAAATCCCTGATAACAAACAAGATTATTAAATAGATTCATAGATGTATCAGTTAAGACTATGCTCAGCTTCATGTAAGAGCAAACCACACTCAACAGGAGTTACACAAAACAGGAGTTTCTCTCATAGGCAGTCCAGAGGCCCCTGGTTTCCCGTTACCAAGCCATCCCCTATGCATGGCTCCCACCTTGCTAGGGACTACACATTTGAACGTTTTCCCCAAAAAATTCATATACGGAAGCCCGAATCCCCAGTGTATGGTATTGGGAGGCGGGGCCTTTGGGAGGTGATTAGGTCATGAGGGTGGAGCCCTCATGAATGAGGTTAAGTGCCTTCATAAGAGGAGACATGTGAGACACGATCTCTTTCTCCACTGGGTGAGGATACAAGAAGGTGGCCTTCCACAAATCAGTAAGACAGCCCTCACCGGACACAATGCATCCGTCAGTACCTTGATCTTGCATTTTCCAGGCTTCAAAACCACGAATAAAAAACTTCTGTTGTTTAAGTAACCCAGTCTATAGTATTTTTGTTATAACGGCCAGAGCTGACTAAAACACACCTCAAGATCCAAGACGACAGCCTGAGCTCAGCCATCACATCTACATTCCTCTCAGGAAAAAGGAAAGGATAAAGAAGGCTTCCTCCTTCAGGACACTTCCAAGAAGTTGTACAAGGTATTTCCACTTACAAGCAATTAATCAAAATTCAGTAACACAGTGATGCCTAGCTACAAGGCTGGCTTCTGGGTGACCACGTGCCAGCTAAAAATTAGGGGTTTTATTACCAAGAAAGATGGGTGAGCTGCAACTGGCAGACAATTAGCAGTGTCTCACACCTGCAGACCATCCATCTGAGAGTCACTGAAGTCAAAAGAAAACTGAAGGTACTCCCATCTTCCCTTAATTTCTCCGAAAATAGCACAAGCAACTAATTAGCAAGGAAAAAAAAATGTTGCTCTTCTCAAAAAAGTGCAAAGTTCACAAGCTCAGGTTCACGAGGACAGATTTAATGAGGGAAAACTGGTTCTTTTCAGTCATTTCATTGTGTCCTTTCAACAAACACTTAGCAGGAGAGAAACTAAAAAAGTTTAAAAGTTGTGTTTTCTTTTCTTTTTCTTT
This sequence comes from Homo sapiens, assembly GCF_000001405.40. Lineage (NCBI taxonomy): Eukaryota > Metazoa > Chordata > Mammalia > Primates > Hominidae > Homo > Homo sapiens. The sequence continues at coordinate 16,789,226 of NC_000010.11, forward strand.
AATGGAGAAGAGAAATTCAGTCGTTGCTTCAGCCGATCACACCACTAGAATGTATTTTTCTTTCTCACTCTTGCCACAGGACCACATGGTAAAGTAGGTAAGAGGAAGAAAAACAAGAGCAGAAAAGAAAAAGTTAATAAAAGATCTTTGAGAAAAATATTTAGGGCAACAAAGGACTCCAGGTCGGGTCTGCAGGGAAGGCAGTGAAGCTGAAAGAATCAACAGACCCCCACAAAGCCCGGTCAGGCAAAGACCAAGTGGAGACAGACATATTTATACAACCAGTCACTCCTTTCCACTCGGGAATGGTGAGTTCACTGTGAGTCTTGTATGGAAACTGAGCTGTTAGAAAAGAAGGGAGAAAAGGTCTACCGAAATAGAATGGGTTATTTAAAAGTACAAAAGCTGCCCCCGTTGAACGTGTCGGGAAAATGGGAGCAGGCTGTACCACTGACCCGCTACTGGTGCCTTGCTGACCGTAATCACACCTGGTAGATTTTCTGCTGTGTTGATAACATCTTCTAATGCTCCTGCTAACCAGACACCATTCAGAATGAGCTCCCCCAAAGCAGTGAGAACAAACTGTTATTAAAATTCCTAAAGCAATATTCAACTATGCTTTGCCCGGGCATTTTCAGAGTAGAATACATTTCAAAATTCAACTCAGTAACTAAGAAAACGTGTTGACGTGCACAGTTAAATACTACAGTGCCTTGGTTATCATTCTACTCTAGCCTCTTTAGGAATGTTATTTAGGTGAACGTTGGATCTGGCCAAAATGAACAGAGGGAAGCAAAATCAATGGGAGGGAAGCATTTGTGGGGTGTGGGGGCAGGGTGAGGTTGCTGGCACTGTCCCTGTGATTTATGATTTTTTTATTCTTGAGCCAGGAAGGGAATCAGCAGGAAAATGCTCAAAAGGAACTAGTTGGTTCAATAATTTCAAAAGAAAGACAATCAAGGACTCACGCAGGCACTTATTGACTGGATATTTACTGATCACACTCAGAGCGCCGGCCGTCTCTACCTTGGAGATTCTCTTAGAGGCAGCATCGACCACACATCCTGATTAGCCTGGAATGGTCTTGGATTATACCAGCTGTCCCTCTAAAAAATGTCCTGGTTTGGAGGATAAGCTACACGACCACACAACTTACGGAACAGAGAATATGGACCAACCACCTAACACGCTAGGTATAAGAATCATGGACACTGAGAGGTGGATTTAGAAAGACAATGGCAGTTCAGAAAGAGATGTTACTTATCGTAGGATGACAAACTGAGAAATGCTTTAGGGTAGAGAGTACACCATGCACCCAGGGGACCTACACAACTCACGGGTGATGGAGTCAATCCCAGGCTTATCTGAGCACAGAGATGAAAAACAGGGAAGGCATATGATAGGGTCTGGCTCTGTGTCCCCTCCTAAATTTCATGTTGAATTGTAATCGTTTGTGTTGAGGGAGGGACCTGGTGGGAAGTGACTGGATCATGGGGGTGGATTCCCCCTTGCTTTTCTCATGATGGTGAGTGAGTTCTCACCAGATCTGGTTGTTTGAAAGTGTGTTAGCACCTCCCTATTTGTTCTCTCTTTCTCCTGCTCCCATCACGAAGACGTGATTTCTTCCCCTTCGCCTTCCACCATGATTATAAGTTTTCTGAAGCCTCCCAGCCATGCTTCCAGGTACAGCCTGTGGAACTGTGAGCCAATTAAACCTCTTTTCTTCAGAAACTACCCAGCCTCAAGTAGTTCTTTATAGCAGTGTGAGAACATACTAATACAGGATATAACATGGAAGGAGTGGTCAGTATTTTAATGGAGTAAATTCAGAAAAATCAAAGAACTAGCTGGAGTGCAGTGGCATGATCTTGGCTCACTGTAACCTCCACCTCCCAGTTTCAAGCAATTCTCGTGCCACAGCCTCCTGAGTAGCTGGGGTTACAAGCATGCACCACCATACCCAGCTAATTTTTCTATGTTTAGTAGAGACAGGGTTTCACCATGTTGGCCAGGCTGGTCTCGAACTCCTGACCTCAGGTGATTCACCTGACTTGGCCTCCCAAAGTGCTGTGATTACAGGCGTGAGCCACCTGTCAAAAAAAATAAAAATAAAAAATAAAAAAACTGGGCAGGTGTGGTGGCTCATGCCTGTAATCCCAGCACTTTCGGAGGCCGAGGTGGGCAGACTGCCTGAGCTCAGGAGTTCAGGATTTCAGGACATAGTGAAATCCCATCTCTACCGAAGTACAAAAAATTAGTCGGGCATGGTGGTGCATACCTGTAGTCCCAGCTACTTGGGAGGCTGAGGCAGAAGAATTGCTTGAAACCAGGAGGCGGAGGTTGCAGTGACCGACATCACACCACTGCACTCCAGCCTGGGCGACAGAGCGAGACTCCGTCTCAAAAAAACAAAAAAAAAAAAAAAAGAAAAATCGAAAAACTAAAACTCCTAGAGAAAGAATCATTATGTCTAGATAACTCATGGAAGCAGGTATCAGTATTTGAAATAGGTCCCGCTTTTTCCTCTTCTTCAGGATAAAGTAGACAATATAAGGAAGGCAAAATAAGCAGGATAAAATCCACAGCCCTGTAAGATGACATTACAGACTCGTTCCCAAGGTGGCCCAACTTATCACAAAGATGTGGAACTCTGGAACTTGTCTCCATAGTTTTCAATCTGGCAAATTAGGAAGCAAATGATTCCTTTAGTAGCACTTCAGAGATGGGAAAAAGTTCTAGTGTCACAGAATGGCACTTACATCCAGACAGATGAGGGCGAACAAAGCCAGGATGAGACACGGGAAATGAGGCCTGAAAACACACAAAATGATATGGAACTTGGAAGTTTCTAAGATCTTCTCATGGGTGAGCATTGGCCATCTTGGACTCTAAATGAAAGGTTCTGTAACGTTGGTCATAAAAACTAGACTGCAATCACCAGTTCAGCTCACAGACTGTGCATTCCGAATGAAAGCCACTAAAAAGGCCTTTGCTATCTGCAAAGGATTCATCACTTTTTTGTTTGTTTTGAAACAGAGTCTCACTGTCGCAGGCTGGAGTGCAGTGGCACAGTCTCGGCTCACTACAACCTCCACCTCCCGAGTTCAAATGATTCTCCTGCCTCGGCCTCCCGAGTAGCTGAGACTACAGGCACGCACCACCACAACTGGCTAATTTTTGTATTTTTAATAGAGACGGGGTTTCATTACGTCGGCCAAGCTGGTCTCGAACTCCCGACCTCGTGATCCACCCGCCTCAGCCTCCCAAAGCGCTGGGATTACAGGTATGAGCCACTGCGCCCGGCCAGGGCTTTTTCACACCTCTTGTGGTTTCAAATGTAACATGCTGGAAGAACCACCATACCTTCTAGAATATTCAAAGGAGTCTGCCTTGTTTTAGCACTGCAGGCTGCACTATTCCAATTCTGCAAGATTCTACAAGTTGCACTGTAGACAGAACCCTCGGCAGTTGTGCACAGAGACAGCCACGTTAATGCAAATCATCCCAGAGTTCTAGACCACAAAGAATTAACTGGATCTTAACATACAGCACGGTGTAAATGGCTTTTCCATTTTGGTTCCCTGGTGGACTAGAAACAGCCACAGCTTTAAATAACCCTCATCAGAGGCTCCACAGGAATGTGGAAGCTGGCCAGATGTCAGCACCGGGCAGCAATGCTGACCAACTTGAGCTCTGCATCTCCGTGATGCTGCTTAAAACGCCTGCCCATGTCGCATGGCTGAAGTTATTTCACCCTTGGTAGTAGGACACAGATTCTGATCTACTTACGTATGCAGGTTCTGACAATGTATTAAAATGAAGACAGACAATAAAATATTTGATATCAATAAATAATAAAAATATCATATTCACCAACACACCAGAATCATAAAAAGCTTTCTTCTGAATTTTGTTCATAAGGTAAAACTTTTAAAATATCACGGTGGGATGAAAGCTTTTCCTTATTTCACAACTAATTAGTGTGCAGGGTTACTGAAACTCTTCAGTAGTAAGTTTTCAAAACACTTGAAATTTTGAATACTTGACTGAATTCTACTATTTATAGATAAAGGGTCTATCAATCACAATTAAGTCCTCTCTCAATCAATGACAAAACAATTGAACATAAATGACAACTGAAAAAAAAAGATGGCCCCTGTTTCTACACATAATAGCAGCAAATTCACCTATCTTGAGAACCCCCCATGAGCTGGTCACTAATTGGAGTCTATGAGTCCATCAGGACATTAAGGAGAAAGAAGACAGACAGACCCAAGACACTGGTATTTAAATTATGGAGCCCACATCATTCTTGTCCAAACACACAGTTTTTGCTCCAGGAAAAAATACACAGAAAAACTATTTCTGAAGATGCCTGAGAGAATTAAAGAGAAAAATATAGTAAGCCACCTAAGATATGCAGTCACTGGATGGTATTAACAAAACTTGGTGAGCTACAGCTACTCTGCAAGCCACTGTACTTCTTTGGTGGGACAGGGATAGAATATGAGTGAGATGCAGCTGCTGCCCTCAATGAGCTTCCTCTGCAATAAGGAGATGAAATAAAACACTAGGATACAATACAGAAAGTGATGGTGAATGTTATTTGTCAACTTGACTGGGCTACGAGATACCCAGATAGCTGGTAAAATGTTCTTTTCCAGGGTCTGTGAGGGTGTTTCCAGAAGAGATTAGCATTTGAATCAGGGGACTGAGTAAAGAAGACCTACCCTTGCCAATGCAGGTGAGCAATAACCAATTCATTGAGCGCCTCAATAGAATAAGAAGGCAGAGGAAGGGAGAATTCATGAAGATCCATCTTCTCCTGCCCTCAGACATCAGAGTTCCTGGTTCCTGGGCCTTCAGATTCTGGGACTTGCATCACTGACACGCACCCCTCCTATGACTCTCCAGCCTTTGGCCTTGCACTAAATTACATTACCAACTGTCCAGGTTCTCCAGCTTGCAGACAGCACATCATGTGACTTCTTAGCCTCCATAATCACCTGGGCCAATTTCCATAATAAATCTCCATATATATATTGCCTATGGATTCTGTTTCTCTGGAGAACTCTGACAGGCAGACTTGTACCATAAAAGTACTAAGGTGCTTTGAAACTCCCATTAAAAGGGAAGTGCCTGAAAATTTTTTTAGGGTTAATAAAACCTTCAAGGACCAGAGTCCATTTTGTTTTATTTCTAACTACCTTCCTCCTCTGTCTCTTCTTTTTTCTTTTTAGCTTGTTTGTATTGACTAATTTTTCTAGCATAAACTATTTTATTTGTGTAACACAAAACTTATGCAGTTTTAGAAATCATGGTTATAGAATGTTGGAGCCAAAGGAACTCTAGAAATCAAACAACTTAAGCTCCTCAATTTACAGATAAGAAAACAGTGGGCCAGAGAAGTAAAGGTATTCTAAGATTCCACGGGCCAGCAGAATCAGAACAGAGTACAATCAAGGTTTCCAGATTCTAAATCTTGAGCTTCTTCTTTGCAAACTGGAAAATTATTATTGACACCTGGATGGAATGTCCTTTATGACAGCAATTCCAACCATAATAAAAATAATATAAACCTGAATGGAAAATTCCTTCCTATCTAGAATAAAATAAGACACAAAAGCAAAGCAAAGAACGCACAGTTCCTAGCAGGTGAGACCTGCCCTGTCATCCCATGAGATCCTGAGAAAAATCACTGGATTGTTCTGGAGCACAAATTCCTCATCTTTAAAATGAAACAAATAAAAGAGAGAAAAAAGATTATTTATGTAATGACCACTACATCACTGTGTTGTGCTGAGCACTTTACATATGTGTTCACTAGAATCAAAAATGTTAGAACAGTCCCGGCGTGGTGGCTCATGCCTGTATTTCCAGCACTTCGGGAGGCCGGGGCAGGCAGATCACCTGAGGTCAGGAGTTCGAGACCAGCCTGGCCAACATGGTGAAGCCCCATCTCTACTAAAAATACAAAAATTAGCCAAGTGTGATGGTGGGTGCCTGTAATCCCAGCTACTGGGGAGGCTGAGGCAGGAGAATTGCTTGAACCCAGGAAGCAGTGGTTGCAGTGAGCCGAGATCGCGCCACTGCACCCAAGCCTGGGCGACAGAGTGAGACTCCATCTCAAAAAAAAAAAAAAAAAAAAATTAAAAAAAAATAAGGTAATAACAAACAACAATAGCTAATGCTTACCAAATGCTTAAAACATGACTGGCACAGTTCTAAGAACTTTATCAATTCACCTATTTCTCACGATAACCCTACAAGGCAATAGTAGTCTCTTCTTCCCTCTCAATTTTAGATGAGAAAAATGAGACACAAGAGGTTATGTAACTTGTCTGTGATTTCAGAACTAGTAAGCAGAGAGAACCCCCTAAAAGCTGTTTCCAAACAAGAAGCTGATTAATTCTGATACTGTCTTACTGGCTAAACAAATATGCCACCGGTTGCATCCACAATTTGCCAACTGCATGGCATTTTATGATGTTCAAAAGACAAGGAGTTTAAGTACACAGGTTGTTTTTTTGCCAAAGTTAAGACATGAGCAGTATTAACTGTGCACACTTTGCATTTCAGAAAATTGGGTGTATCTTCAACCCCCCGGACCCCTAAACAAGCCGCCCAGGTGAGGCACCGGCACCCTCTTCCCAGGGGCTGATGTCAGACGTTTCTCTATCACTCTCCATTCTCCGCTTGAGCAGCAGCTCTCTGCGTCCGCCTCAACCTTCCCCCATACTTCTCACCTGAACCTGGCCCCACATTTCCCTGGGAAAAGTAAACCTTCTTTTCAAGCAGGAGGAGCTGGAATCCTAAACCTGCTGTCTGTACAAAAGCCACATGACTCTTGGAGCTCTAAGAGTTCTAAGTCCCTCAACAGTCACTAAATATTAGAAGACCATGGTGTGCCACCTGCTCTTACCCGAAGGCAAAACATGATTTGGTCTCGTAGGCAGCTCAACCATTATTTTTAACCTTGGATTTTGATTCTCTCCCCACATGTCATCCCTTATCCTGGCCTCCAAGTGTTGCCTTCTCCAATCCTATAACCAGTCACCTAGATTGACATTGATCATCAATCAGCCCCTAAGTCAAACTTAGGTGTGTTTCTTCTGATCTGCTCCAGGGCCTCGCTACGTCTTCACTGTGTGTGATGTCTCTTCTCCCAGTCCTGCTCCAGTCCATTCCCTCCACCTTTCTCTCAACACTGCAAACAAATCTGCCATCAATGACACCCACAAACCCTCACCCTCTTGTTCTTTCCTCACCCCAAAGGCCCATTAGACTCTTCACCCCTAAATCCCCCTCTTATCAGAGCTCCCACAATGGCAGCTTCAAAACAGACTATGCCACTGCTCAACAAGTATGAAATTGTCAAACTGTTCATCACAATGATCATTTTTTGAGTACCTGGTCTGCATCAGATACTACATACACATTATCCTTCATTTGAGGAGAAGCTTATTTTTCCCACTGTACCAAGGAGGAAAAAGTGTAGGTGCAGGAAACGTGGAGGCAGCATGGCAGATTTTAGGAATCCTGAAACCCTACATCAAAATAGAGAAACTAGGCAGCAAGAAAAAATTCAAGGACACAATTTACAACAAAACTAGGTTATAAAGTGTCCCCACAAAAAACTCCAAAATACAAGTAGATGAGGACAAGCTACCAGTAACCCAAAGATTGGCATGATATCAGCATGCATGTGACGAAAGCAGAGAGAACCCAAGGGGCAACTAACAAACTTGACAACTGAGAACCCCCGAATAGCTAAACAAATTCACCAGAAAGCCCAGAAGACCTCTGTGAGAATAGCAGCTGAAATTAGGAAGGGTTTGCCCATTCCAACAGCAGGGCCTGCAGTAGGGTCTGATGGATTAGGACAAGTCTAGGCCCTGTGACCTGGAAACTGACCACCTAGGGCTCCCTTGCAGGACAGGGCCTAGAATCAAAGCTGGATAAGACAGAAATAATAGAGACCAATGATAGAGGCACACTGCCTATAGGGTAGCCCTACTCCACAAGGAGCAGTAAGTAAAAATAAAACGCTTTTAAAAAGAGAGAGAAAAAGAGACCAAGGATAGAGAAGATCCAGATAAAAGTGGGCAGAAGGACTGAACCAAGTCATCTGAAAGCAAGCCACTGTATTTCTGAAAACTACATAAAATCAACCAGAGGACAGAGCTCTGTAAAGTTAGAAAAGCTATCTAGAACTAAGCCTTCCTCTGAAAGTTTAGGAAAATTAATTTCATTTAAAAATGAGCAACATAAAAAATATTGGGAGCAAATCCCATAACGTTATTATGGAATAAAAGGAAAAAGAAAGTGTAGAAGAACATCATTGACCATGAAAACTCACTAACCAAAAAGATGCCCAGAACACAGGGCAAAACTATAATTGACTATTTCAAAACAAGGTAAAAAGCCATTACAACAATGATACATGACACAAAACAGAAACATAAATCTGATTTCCAAAAATTCAGCAATAAAGGGACAAAACTTAAGAAAAAAATTAGAAACAAAAAAAATTATTTCAGAAATGAAAGCTAAATTCAAAGACATATAAGAGCAAATAAACACAATACGTAATACTTTACAAGAAACAGAAGTTAAAGTGGGGATTTCTTCTTTTTTTTTTTTTTTTTTTTTTTGAGATGGAATCTCTCTCTGTTGCCCAGACTGGAGTGGAGCGGGGCAATCTCGGCTCACTGTAACCTCCGCCTCTCGGGTTCAAGGGATTCTCCTGCCTCAGCCTCCAGAGTAGCTGGGATTATAGGTGCCCACCACCACGCCCGGCTAATTCTTGTATTTTTAGTAGCGACGGGGTTTTACCATGTTGGCCAGGCTGGTCTCGAACTCCTGACCTCACCTGATATGCCTGCCTCGGCCTCCCAAAGTGCTGGGATTATAGGCATGAGGGATTTCTTTTAAAACAAAGAAATGAAGCAAGAACAGGGATCTGGGCAAAAGTGACAAATATTAAAGATGGGCAAAAAAATCAACATACAGACCCCAGAAAACCATAAAGAACATAAGGAAAGAGCTCATAGACTAAAAATCACAATAAAAATACTTTCTTGAAATAAAAGGTATTTAAAAGTTCTGATATGGTTAGGCTGTGTTCCCACCCAAATCTCATCTTGAACTGTAATCCTCATAATCTTCGTATGTCAAGGGAGAGACCGGGTGGAGATAACTGAATCATGGGGGTGGTTTCCCCCATACTGTTCCCCCGATAGTGAGTTCTCATGAGATCTGATGGTTTTATAAGGGGCTCTTCCCCCTTCGCTCAGCACTTCTCCATCCTACTGCCTTGTGAAAAAGGCACCTTGCTTTCCCTTCCGCCATGATTGTAAGTTTCCTGAGGTCTCCCCAACTATGCTGAATGGTGAGTCAATTAAACCTCTTTCCTTCATAAATTACCCATCTTGAGCCGTTCTTTGTAGCAGTATGAAAACAGACTAATACAATTTTCAAACTTTAAAGAGCATACTACATACCTGGGAAATAATCAGACCAGAATGACCTACGCCCTACACCAAGTCATACTCCAGTAAAATTACAGGAAATAAAATTGTATCACCAGACTTTCAAACAATGCTTTATGCCAGAAGAAATAGAGTAACACATCGACAACACTCCAGAAAAGAAACTGTCGAGTCTCTATACCTGTAAAATTGACTTTCATGTAAAAAGAACACAAATTTTTATGTACTATCCACAGAAAAAACTCTGGGATTATTCTCTTGATGCCTTTCTGAGGAATATTCCAGAGTATAAGCTTCAGACAATCAAAATAACTAGAGATACATTGTCCTAAGGACTCCTAATGCGCATAAAAGATAGGGGTGCCTGTAGAACTAAGACTACGTGAGGGCTAAAGGAGAGACTGTATCATAGGAAATGGCTATATGTGCTGAAAATCTAGATACAGTTCAAATTCTAAAAAGCAGGGAGCCGTATTTCCAAAATTAATACCAGATTAGAGATGTATCGGGTTTCTGGTTAGCAAATAGAGATTCTGGACGTTGTCACTACCATACTCACAGTAAGAAGAAAGCTGAGCAAACAGAAAACAAACAACTCTTCCATAGATTCATTAGAAAACTCAGGTCACAGGGCAAACCACCATACCGAAATCTAGAGACAGGCAAACACAGAGAATCACAGCATAGTAGGAGCAGAAATACCTGCTGGAGCCAGCAACCGGTAGGAATGCCTCAAGGGTAACTGCCGAATTGCCAGAGACTGAGTGGTAAACTAATTTGAGAGATTAAAAACAACAACAACAACAACAAAAACAACAACAAGTTCCTGGGGGCCCGGTCTTAAGGGGTCTCCTGTACTTTGCTGAGTTTTACCTCTAAGAGCCCTACCAGGTTCTAAGGGTGAAAAAATTAGAAAAAAAAATCCCTCTGTGCTTCATGGAAGGGGAGAAGAGCAACCACTGTGAAAGAAGCCCAAAGCATTCTGCTCTCCTTAACAAACAGAGAAATGATTTAGCAGAGCCTAGGCTACCTGGGATTTACCAGAGCCTGACCAACAGGAACTGATGGAAATACCCAACTCCAGCCCGCTCACACCTTCCTGTCTCAATTTGGTAGCCGGGGGCGGGGAGGGGATGCGGGGAAGTTGAGAAACAGCTGTGAAGGTCACAGCCAAGTGGCACAGGCTCACTAGAGAGATCTAAGCACAGGATTACAGAACGTTTCCCTTTTCCCGATGCCTTCTCATCAGAAGGGGTCCTATAAAATAATACGGAATTACGGCAGAAGTTCAAGGCTCACACAGTATTTAAGGATTCAACAGGGAAAATCTAAGAGAAAAGGGGAGGAAAACACAAGGAAGACACAAGAGAAAATTTTACCCTCTGACACCCAAAGCTACAAAAATGTGAGAACTCGCACTAAAAGCCTATTTACCTCAGTTCCTTTTACCCAATGCATCATGTCTGGCTTACAACAAAATTACAAGGTACTCTAAAAAGAAGAAAGGCTGAGGAGAGAAATCAAGCAAAAGAAGCACACTCGGATATGGCAGATATTTTACAGTTATCTGACTGCGACTTTAAAATTAATATGATTGATATGCTAAGAGCTCTAATGGAAAAAGTAGACAACATGCAAGAAAAGATGGGTAATGTCAGCAGAGACAAAATCCCTGAGAGAATTGAAAGGAAATGCTAGAGTTCACAAACACTGTAACAAAAATAAAGAGCGCCTCTGACTGGCTCATTAGTAGAATGGATACAGTCAAGGAAAGAATCAGTGATCTTGAAGACATGTCAACAGAAACTTCCTAAACTGAAAAGCAAAGAGAAAGAAGAGTAGGAGAAAAGTAAGACAAAATATCTAAGAACAATGGGATAATTACAAAAGGCGTAACAGGCATGTTGGTTGATTATAGTTTACAGATAACTGAAATGAATGATACCGATTCTATAAAGAACAACAAGAAGGAACTGGAAATGTCTGATTTTAAGTTACCTGCACTGGCTCTGAAGTGGCACAGTGTTATTTAAAAGTGAGTTAAGATTAATTGTAAATGTATATTGCAAACTCTAGGGCTATCATTAAGAAGTTTTTATTCCTTGCTTTATCCTCCTTCTAAAAAATAAATTTTTAAATGTACATTTGCTGAGAAAAGAGAAAACGGAATATGTTGTGAGAAGAGAAAATGAAATCATATTAAATGCTCAATTAAAGCCACGGAAAGCAGAAAAAGAGCAGAAGACAAAAAAAAAAAGAACAAGGGCAAGAATAGAAAACACTTATTTTGTAGGTATTAATCTAAGTAATATCAATTATCACATTAGATGTTAATAACCAAACATATCAATTATAAGACTATCAGTGTGGATCTTTTTTTTAAAAAAAAAAACAGGATCTAACTATATGTTATCTATGAGAAATCCACTTTAAATATAAAATATAGATACAACTAAATTAAAAGTAACGGGATGGAGAAAGAGATATGACGCTAAACGCTAAACAAAAAAAGCTGCAGTAGTCATGTTAATTTCAGACAAAGCTGACTTCAAAGCAAGGAAGATTATCAGAAATAAAAAAGGGTATTACATGACGATTAAATGGTAAACTTTCCAAGAAAGACACAGCAATCCTTAATGTGAATGTATCTAACAACAGCGTCAAAATATGTTAGACAAAAACTTATAGAAATGCAAAGAGAAAGAAACAAATCCGCTATTATACTTGGAGACGTCAAGACTCCACTCTATCAGTAATTGACAGATCCAGCAGGCAGAAAATCAGTAAGGACAGAGTTAAAAACACAACACCACCATCTATCAGCTGGATATAATTGACATCTATAGACTACTCCATCTAACAGAAAAATGCACATTCTTCTGAAGCTTGCACAGAACATTCATAGACATAGACCACATTCTGGGCCATAAAACACCCCTTAAACTTAAGAAAATAGAAATTATACAATATATGCTCTCAGTCCACATTGGAATTAAACTAGAAATCAAACGAAAGATAGCTGAAAAATCCCAAAACATCTGGACATTAACAACATATTTCTAAATAACATGTCAAAGAAATGTCAAAAAATTTTTAAAAATATTTTAATTAAATGAAAACGAAAATACTACTTATCAGAATTTGTGAACTGCAGCAAAATCAATGCTAAAGGAAATTTATAGCATTAAATGCATGTATTACAAAACAAGACAGTTCTATTAGGTTGGTGCAAAAGTAATGGCAAAACGGCAATTACCTCTGCACCAACCTAATAAAATCAATAATCTAAACTTCTACCCTAGAAAACAAGAAAAATGAGAATGAATTGAACTACAAGTAAACAGAAAAATATTAATAAAAATTAGGGCAGAAATCAGTGATACTTAAAAGGGGAAATAATAGAGAAAATCTCTGAGTACAAAAGCTGGTTTTTGGAAAAGATCAATAAAACTGGTAATCCTGTAGGGAGGCTAACCAAAAAAAAAAAAAGAACGAACAAATTACAAACAGAAATGAAAGAAGGGCCATTACTACTGATTTCATGGATGTTAAAGGGATAATAAAGTAACATTATAAACAACTCAATGTCCAAAAATGTTATAACTTAGATAAAATGGACCAACTGCTGGAAAGACATAATCTACCAAAATTCACACAGGAAGAAACAGATCATTTGAGTGGGCCTACGTCTATTAAAGAAATTGAATCATAAATTAATAACCTTCTAAAAGAGAAAGCACTATGCCCAGATAGGTTTACTCATGAATTCTACCAAACGTTTAAGGAAGAAATTATACCAATTCTCTACAATACCTTTCACAAAATAGAAGCAAAGAGAACAATTTCTAACTCATTAAGCCAAAGACATTACAAAAAGGAGAAACTACAGACCAATCTCTCTCATGGACATAGATACAAAAATCCTCTACAAAGCGTTAGCAAATAAATTCAAAAATGTACTAAGAGTACACACAATGACCAAGTGGAACTTACTCCAGGTATGCAAAGGTGGTTCAAATTCAAAAACAAAAGCAATCCATCACTTCAAACAGGTGAAAGAAGGAAATCCATACGATTATATGCATAGAGGCAGAAAAAGCACTGGAAAAATTCAACACCCATAAAAACTCTTAGCAAACTAGGAATAGAGGAAGAACTTTCTCAACTTAATAAAAAATATCTACAAAAAACCTGCAATTAACAAGATACTTAATGTTAAGGAACTAGTTGCTTTCCTACTACAGTTGGGAACAAGGCAAGGATGTCCCCTCTCACCACTTCTAGCCAAAATCAGATTGGACGTCCTTGTTAACGCAGTAAGGTAAGAAAAAGCAGCAAAATGTATGCAGATTGGAAAGGATGAATTAAAACTGTCTTTCTCCACAGATAATATGATGTGTACGTAGAAAATCCCAAAGAATCAACAAAGAAGAACTGAAACTAATAACTACAGCAAGTTTGCAGGATACAAGGTAATATACAAAGGCAATTGCTTTTCTATATAAAAAAATAGAATTTTACATTAAAAACACACCATTTACATTAACACCAAACAAATGAAATATTTAGATATATAGCTAACAAAATATGTACAAGCTCTATATGAGAAAAGCTTCAAAGCTAGTATGGAAGAAATCAAAGACCTAAATAAACAATGAGATACTTCAGGTTCATGAACAGGAAGACTCAACACTGTTATGATGTCAGTTCTTCCCAAGTTGATCTACATATCAATTCCAGTCAAAATACCAGCAAGTTTATGGATATCAACAAACTGATCCTAAAATTTACATGGAAAGGCAGAACAGCCAATGCAATATTGAAGAAAATACAGTTGGAGCACTGACACTGACCAACTTCAAAACTTAATGTCAGTTATAGTAACAAGACAGTGTGGAGTTGGTGAAACAATAGACAAGTAGGTCACTGGAATAAAATAGAAAGCCCAGAAATAGACCCACACAAATATAATCAGCTAATCTTTGGCAAAAGTGCAAAGGCAATTCAGTGAGAAAAGGAGTCTTTTCAACAAACGGTGCTGAAACAGATGGACATCAACACACACACAAAAATCAATCTAGACAAAGACCTAACATCGTTCACAAAAATGAACTCCAAATGAATCACAGACCTAATGAAAAACACAAAGCTATAAAAATTTCTAGATATAACAAAGGAGAAAAATCTAGTTGACCTGAGATTTGGCAATGACTTCTTAGATACAATACCAAAGGCACAACTTACGAAGGAAAAACTTGATAAGACTTCATTATAATTAAAAATTTCTGCTGTGTGAAAAATATCATTAAGGGAATGAAAGACCAGCGCCAACAAGGAGAAAGTATTTGTTAACACACATATCTGATAAAGAACTAGTATCCAAAATATAAAAAAAAGACTTAAAACTCAGGAACACCAACCCAATTAAAAAGTACGTGAAAAATCTGAATGGACATCTCACCAAAGAAGATAAACATATGGCAAATAAGCATATGAAAAGATGCTCGGCATCATATGTCATTAAGGAATTGCAAATGGAAACAATGAGATACCACTGCATACCCACTAAAATGGCTAAAATCCAAAACACCAACAACACCAAATGCTGGTGAGGATGTGGAGCAACAGGAAACCTCATTCTTTATTGGTAGAAAACAAAATGGTACAGCCACTCGAGAAGACAGCTTAATAGTCTCTTATAAAGCTAAACATAATCTTATCACATGATCCAGTAATCACATTCCTAGGTATTCGCCCAGATGTGCTGAAATCTTCTGTCTATACAAAAATCTGCACAACAATGTTTACACCAGCTTTATTCATAATTGTCCAAAGTTGGAAGCTGCCAAAATATCATCCAATAGGTGAATGGATAACCAAACTGTGGTACATCCAGACAATGGAGTATTATTCACTGCTAAAAAGAAATGAGCTATCGAACCACAAAAAGACATGGCGGAATCTTAAATGCATGTTGCTAAGCAAAAGTAGCCAATCTGTAGAGGCTATATACCCTACGATTCCAGCTATATGACATTCTGGAAAGGGTAAAATTATAGAGACAAACTGTAACATTTCAGTGGTTGTCTGAGGTTTTGGAGGTAGATAATGAGGGAGAGGGGATGAAGAGGTAAAGCAGAGAGGATTTTTAGAGCAGTGTAACTGTTCCATGTGATACTGTAACGGTGAATACATTACATTAATTTGCCAAAACCCATAAAACTATACTATATACAGTGAACCCTGATGTTAGCTATAAGCTTTAGTTAATAATAATGCATCAACAGCCTGGCTAACTTGGTGAAAACCCATCTCTACTAAAAATTAAAAAAAAATTTGCCGGGTGTGATGGCGCCTGCCTGTAATCCCAGCTACTCGGGAGGCTGAGGCTGAGGCAGGAGCATCCCTTGAACCTGGGAGGCAGAGGCTGCAGTGAGCCCAGATCACACCATTGCAATCCAGCCTGGGTGACAGAGTGAGACTCCATCTCAAATAATAATAATAATAATAACGCATCAATATTGGTCCAGCAATCATAGCAAACGTAACACACCAATGCAAGATGTTAATATGGGAAACTAGGAACGGGGGATGGAGGAGAGACGTGGATCTGTACTTCCTGCTCCAGCTCTCTGTGAATCGAAAACTGCTCTTCAAAAAATAGCCTTTTTTTGGCCGGGAGCGGTGGCTCACGCCTGTAATCCGAACATTTTGGGAGGCCGAGGAGGGTGGATCACGACGTGAGGAGATCGAGACCATCCTGGCTAACACGGTGAAACCCTGTCTCTACTAAAAATACAAAAAAAAAAGTTAGCCAGGCGTTGTGGCGGGCGCCTGTAATCCCAGTTACTCGGGAGGCTGAGGCAGGAGAATGGCGTGAACCCGGGAGGCGGAGCTTGCAGTGAGCGGAGATCACGCCACTGCACTCCGACAGAGCGAGACTCCGTCTCAAAAAAAAAAAAAAAAAGCTTTTTTTTTTTTAAAGAGGGAGAATGAAGATAGCATATGCATAAGACAACTGTTTTTAGCAATACTGGCATTAGTAATATTAGTATTGTTAATTGCGTGTCAGGTACCAAATCTGAGACTGTGAGATATTCCAATTCTATCATCACCCATATCTGTAAGAGGCACGCTTCCGAGTGGAAGGGAGGTCAAGATGAGGACTAGAAGGAGGAGTTAAGTAAAAGCCTTGCATTCTGTTATGTATTTCCATTGGAACTACCAGTATAAGCTCAGGAGGCTGGCAGTCTCAGGACTTAAAGGGAGAGTGACTAGGAGGAGCACCAGCTCCCAACCTACTGATAATGTTTCTTGCTTTGAAAATCTGTCAACTTGTACTGTCATTATGCACTTATCGATACGAATACTTCAATAAGGTTTTTTGGAATAGATTTTTTTAAAACTATGTGTAAGTATTTTGGGAAGATGAAGGTTCCTGTTTCCCTGGTTCAAATGGGATAAACATAGGTAGTGTCCCTGAATGCATTCCTAAATTGTTACAGAATCATTAGCCCAGACAGGACAGCTACCATGGCTTCTAGAACATGACCGGGTGGCCACAGGCACTCAGCATGCTCGCTGAATTAGCCGTTATCTTCATCTCCTCCACAGGGTATGTGCATATGACTGTCAGAAACCAGTAAGGCAAAACAGGAGAAGCTGAGAACACTGCTTCCGACGTCTGCAGGTGTGGCTTCAAATCTGGGCTCTACCACTTATTGCCTGGGTGACTTTGAGCAAGTTAATGATGCTCCTTAAATCTGTTTCCTTACCTATTAACTATATAATGACAATACATTGTGAGGTTTGAAAGATTAATCCATACAGAGGGCTTAGCACAATGCCTGGTATGTGGTAAATGTGTGCGTGTATTATATTAATACACTCCATGCATAGATGGCATGGTATTTCAATCATATTATCTATTATTTTCATCCTCCTAACAAAGAGTGCACAACGTTGTAGAATACAAACATATAATAAATTACATAGGCATCTTTGACACGCCCTAAAGACTTAAGCATTTACAGCTGTTTCATTATTTATTTATTTTGAAAGAGTCTCACTCTTGTCGCCCAGGCTGGAGTACAATGGCGTGATCTTAGCCCACTGGAGCCTCTACCTCCCAGGTTCAAGTGATTCTCCTGCCTCAGCCTCCCAAGTAGCTGGGATTACAGGCATGTACCACCACACCCAGCTAATTCTTGTATTGTTAGTAGAGAGGGGGTTTCACCATGTTGGCCAGGGTGGTCTCAAACTCCTGACCTCACTCAGGTGACCCACCCACGTTGGCCTCCGGAAGCGCTGGGATTACAGCAGGCATGAGTCAGGCTGGGATTACAGCAGGCATGAGCCACTGCGCCCAGCCTCACTTACAGCTGTTAAGAACACCAAGTTACATAGACCACCATTCAAACACTGAGATTGCAAACCACATTACCGTTCTCCGGTCTGCACTGTGTCCTGAAAAACTAAGAGGCGAAACCTCCTTGCAAGTAATTGCTTGTTCTGATGTGTGCCTTTCATTTGGCCTCACCCTTAAAATTATAAGTTACACAGAGTCCAAAGGAATAATTAATGGATATGCAAAGAAACGGATGAAATAAGAAGGATCTTTATGAGGTATGGATACTATAACTAAAACTACCATTTAATGTACTTCAGGTTTATTCTATTTGATACATGAACCAATATTTCCCCAACACAATCTTTTCCAGCCCCATACTTTGTAGTGTTTTAAGCTAATGTTCTAAGTTTGAAGACAAAAGAAAATGAATTAACATACGGTATACAAAGATCTCACATCTGATCATTCCATTCTATTGAGATTAATAGTTTTTCAGGAAACCATAAAGAAAGTGGGGAGGGTTCTGCTAATATTGATGGAGATTAAGTTGCTTCTTATGTTTTCTTCAACAGTTAAAGCTCTGCAACCATCCTGTAAACCCAAGTTTCCAAGCTGGCAGGGCTAGCCCAATAACACTATTTTATTTGCTTAACACAGTGTTTTAAAGAATTCTGAGACGAGGTACGGTGGCTCACACCTGTAATCCTAGCACTTTGGGAGGCTGAGGCAGGCGGATCATGATGTCAGGAGACTGAGACCATCCTGGCTAACACGGTGAAATCCCGTCTCTACGAAAAATACAAAAAATTAGCCGGGCTTGGTGGCGGGTGCCTGTAGTCCCAGCCACTGGGGAGGCTGAGGCAGGAGAATGGCGTGAACCTGGGAGGCAGAGCTTGCAGCGAGCCGAGATCACGCCACTGCACTCCAGCCTGGGTGACACAGCAAGACTCTGTCTCAAAAAAAAAAAAAAAAAAGAATTCTGAAAATGAATGCCTTACGGTAAGGCAGGCCCTAGGAGTCACCTCTCCTTGGCATCCAAGCCTGGCCCTGGTGAGCCCTTCGGGGCTAGGATACAACACAGCACAGTATCACACAGCAAACCTTTCAGACACACTCAAGAGTGAACTCCAACCGGGCGCAGTGGCTCACACCTGTAATCCCAACACTTTGAGTGGCGAAGGCAGGTGGATCACCTGAGGCCAGGATTTCAAGACCAGCCTGGTCAACATGGCAAAACCCCATCCCCATCTCTACTAAAATTAAAAAAATTCGCCAGGCGTTGTGGCAGGTGCCTGTAATCCCAGCTACTTGGAAGCCTAAGGCAGGAGAATCGCTGGAACCTGGGAGGCGGAGGCTGCAGTGACCGTGATCATGCCACTGCACTCTAGCCTGGGCAACAAGAGTGAAACTCCATTTAAGAAAAAAAAAAAAAAAAAAAAACAAAGTGAACTCCGTTTCCACCACTGCCTGAGTGACACTGGGGACTTTATAGAACCTCCATAGCTCTCTACTTTCTCATCTATAAAATGCTGACGGTAGGTGAACCAAAGAGGGATGTTATGAGTGTGAGAAGCACTTACCACAGAGTAGGCACTCAGGTCTGTATCATTTGAGAACCTCTAATCTAGATGTTATGGAATGAACTATGTCTTCCCAAAACTAATATGCTGAAGCCCCAATCCCAAATACCTCAACATGTGACTATATTTGGAGATGGGGCCTTTAAAGAGGCGATCAGGTTAAAATGAGGTCCTTAAGGTGGACCCTATCCCAATCTGACTATTGTCCTCATGAGAAGAGGAAACTGAACAGACTGAGGGACAGCAGGGATGCAGAGGGAAGATCATGTGAGCACAGCAAGAAGACGGCCACCTGCAAGCCCAGGAGAGAGGCCTCAGGAGCAGCCAGCCCTGCTGACACTATGATCTTGAACTTCCAGCCTCCAGGACCGTGGGAAATAAATTTCTGTTGTCAAAATCACCCAGCCTGCGGTGTTTTGTTTTGCAGCCGTAGGACATTAACAAAGTAGGTACTATTAATCCTATTATTGGCCTTTTGGGCTTTGCTAGCACCTCAAACCTGAAATACTGTTTTACAGCATTAAGCATCACACGCTGATGGAATCTGCTCAATGGGGACACTGCAAATTCCATTTCCTTTGATTGGAAACATGCTCTGATCAGCACTTCTCTATTCAGAGGCCACATGCAAGGCAGCTGTGAAACATGCCAACCTCAAAGATGCTCTGGTTGACTGTAACATACGTGAGATTTCTTTCACTGTGAGCTACACAGATAAAATGCCATTAAGACTCCATCTCTCTACCCAAAGACAGAACCTGGCGAATGAAGGTGGAAGAACTGTAGAGGCAGCAAAGCTCTGTGTGGAGATGAGACGAGCTGTGTCCAGCCTCCCAGGGAGCCCAGGAGCAAAACACAGAGGCTCAACACTGACCCCTGCTGCTCACACACTTGATCTAGACCAAATGCTCCTTGGCCACATTTTTACATCATCCTTTGGTTTAAAAAATAAAAAAATTAACCCACCTGCACAAACTTGCTATCCAAAGAAGAGGTCTTTACGCTGAATTAAAAAAAAAGTCATCTCTAGTCTTTTCTCTAACAATGGATCTCCTGTATCTAGATTGTGTTTTCTTTCAACTAGGTTCATGTGAATTTATGAATAAATAATACAGGGTATGGTTTTCAATTATTATCCATACCAATTGTAGCATTGGTTATAATGGCAAAGCAGTGAGTGTTATAGTTCTTATGGTGAAAATATAACTACTTCACATGTAATAGACACCTTATAGTCATCTTAACATAACAAACAATAATTTCTCAGTAGATAATTTTAAAATTCAATATAAGACCAGGCACATTGGCTCACACCTGTAATCCCAGCAATTTGGGAGGCCGGGGGTGGGGGGGGGAGGTGAATCACCTGAGGTCAGGAGTTCAAGACCAGCCTGGCCAACATGGCAAAACCCCATCTCTACCAAAAATACAAAAATTAGCGGAGCATGGTAGCTGGCACCTGTAATCCCAACTACTCCAGAGGCCAAGGCAGGAGAATTGCTTCAACCTGGGAGGCGGAGGTTGCAGTGAGCCAAGATCGCGCCACTGCACTCCAGCCTGGGCAACAGAGTGAGACTGTGTCTCAAAAAATAAAAAAATAAAAAAATAGAAATTAAAAAATTCAATGTAAACTCCCAAACGAACTCTGGTTACATAATGCCTATCATAAAAAAATACATTCAATAAATAGTTACTGCAGGACACAGAGTATTTTAATTATTAGTGGAAAAATTACCAGTTTTCAAAGCATGTCTGCCATTCTCAACAGAAACTTGGCCACAAGCACATCCCAACGAAAATCCTGCTGCTGTTCCCCCAGCAGCCGCCCCCCGGGCTATGCACAGCTCTGAACTCGCCAGTGTGTGGCAACGGCTGTTCCTCTTGACCCTAGCACACTGGGCCCAGCCGCCCAACTTCTCCTGGGAATTCTGACTCAGGTGAGGAATAAGGCAGTGGGTGTGCTGGTTTGACAAGACCATGGGACAGGTGGGCAAAGACCACTGAGAAGTACCATCACCAACGTTTCCAAGAAATAAAGATATTGTTTTGCACTTGTTACACCATCACAGATAAAATGGTTTTTACAATAGTCATGCACCGCTTAATAATGTTTCACTCAACAATGAACCACCCGGGAGGCTGGGGCAGGCAGATCGCTTGAGTCCAGGAGTTCAACACCAGCCTGGGAGAAATGGCGAAACCCCATCTCTATAAAAATTACAAAAATTTGCCGGCAGTGGTGGCATGTGCCTGTAATCTACGCTACTTGGGAGGCTGAGGTGGGAGGATCACTTGAGCCCAGGAAGCCGAGGCTACAGTGAGGCAAGATCATGCCACTGTAGTCCAGCCTGGGCAACAGAGTGAGACCTTGTCTCAAAAACACAAACAAACAATGGACCACAAATATGACAGCGGTCCCACGAGATAACAATAATGTACTATATTTTTACTGTATGTTTTTGTATAAAGACACACACACTCACCATCATGTTACAATTCCCTATGGGATTCCATACAATCACATGCTGTACAGTTTTGTAGCCTAAGAGCAAAAGCCTGAGTCACAAGCACACCATCTAGCCCAGGTGTGTAGTAGGCTACACCATCTGGGTGTGTGTAGGGACATTCTGGGAATGACCACACAATGACAAAATCTTATTATGCATTTCTCATAACGTATCCCCACCATTAAGTAATGCATGAGTGTTCTAATAATAGCAAGTATTAAGACCATCAGGTACCGGGTGGTACACTAGGCCCTTATAGATATTAATTCACAATGACCCTATGAGGTGCTCTTATTATTCCCATTTTATAGATGAGGCACCTGAGGCACAGAGAGGTCAAGCAACTTGCCCAAGGATACACAGCTAGTAGCAAACAAAAAAGATGCTTACAAAAAAGCCACCAGGGCCACTAGAGCCAGAATGTCAGAGGACTGACAAAAAGTCAAATGCCATTACCGATTCAGTCATGCCAAAGGGGCTACACCTCTTCTTTGTTTCAATGAAGCATTTCCAGTTTTAACCCTATCATACAATCAAAAATAGAAGTTGTCAGTTCCATCTTGTTCCTGATAGCTGGAAACTGCTTCCCTCTGGAAACTGCGGAGAAGCCTGCAGGAAGGAGACAGAGTACATGCTCCTTCTCCAGAGCTATGCTTTCTCCCTTAGCCAACCTGAATCTCTTAACTAAAAGCAGTAACATTCCTTCTTCAATAAATTTTTCCCAAGTACTATGCCAAGTAGAGAGACACTTCAGCTAGGCTGGATGGGATGGTGGGTCAGAACTGAGTATTCTCGAGGGGCCTCCTTGAGGAGGTCACAGGAAATGGAGTCATGTGAATAGTTAAGTCCTTCCTTCTTTCAACAAGCACTAACTGACAAGGGGGCAAGGGCTAGCTGGAGCGAGAAAAACGAAAAGGGCTCCCCAGGCCAAGAAGCGGCGTGTTTAAAAACAGAAAGGTGGGCACATACACACAACCTAGAGGAGTGAAAACATAAATAATTTTAAGGCCGGGCACAGTGGCTCACGCCTGTAATCCCAGAACTTTGGGAGGCCAAGGCGGGTGGATCACTTGAGGTCACGAGTTCAAGACCAGCCTGGCCAATATGGTGAAACCCCGTCTCTACTAAAAATATAAAAATTAGCCAGGTGTGGTGGCGCACGCCTGTAACCCCAGTTACTGGGGAGGCTGAGGCAGGAGAATCGCTTGAACCCAAGAGGTGGAGGCTGCAGTGAGCAGAGATCACGCCACTGCACTCCAGCCTGGGCAACAGAGCAAGACTCCATCTCAAAAACAAAAAACAAAAATTAAAAAACAAAAAAATGATTTTAATAGATTATATCTAAAATTACAGGTCCTCCCCAGCTCTTTAATCTATCCCCCAAAGAAGGTCGACATGGATAGCATGTGTTCCAGGTTTAACAAGACTTTTGAGATAGCTCTTCCAGATAACCCATGATCATATTTGTTTATTATTTTGCCTGGTCCTTTAGAAAGACCACTCCCTTGAAAGCAGGTTGTTTTCGAGATTTATCTGAAAAATATTTTAGTCTAACTTGGAAAAAAAATGATAAAGGCTTGACCACCCAGAGAGGGCAATACACTTGAAGAGATTAAAAAATCAGGAAACACTTAAATAAGAGAAATGAAAGAAAGTTCCTCCGGCTACAGCTGGGATTCTGTCTCTATGGAAATGGAAGCTGATTACAGGGCCCTTCAAAATCAACTTTATCAACCAGATGAAGACAGCTGCTGCTTGGGAAAGAGTTTCTGCAGTGAAATCTCTTTAATAAAAAGAATAAAATCAGCAGCATTACGATTATGCTGGGAAGCTTTTTTTTTTTTTTAAGAGACAAGGTCTTGTTCTGTCACCTAGTAACACGATCATAGCTCACTACAAACTCAAACTCCTGGGTTCCAGCAATCCTCCCACCGCAGCCTCCCTGAAAGCTGGGACTTGCACATCACCCTCAGCTCATTTTTTAATTTTTTGTAGAGATGGGGTCTCACTCTATTGCCCACACTGGTGTTCTTGGAAGCTTTAACGAGAATGTGTGTGCAAATTACATGCCATGTTAAAACAAAATGATGGAAAATAAATAAATTAGGACAAATTTTAAATAAATAGCTATCTAAATCAATTAGAACCTTAGGCAAAAGTACCAAACACTACAGGTTCTAATAAGCCACACAAAAAATTCCAACACCTGATACAAATGCCTTACCCAGTCGAGTTAACAAAGTAAAGTTCTTGGTTCAGGCTACTGACTATGTTGGAACTGGGTATGTCTGAGACATATGGGTCTATAGCTGGATATTCATATTAATAGTTAACATTTAATGTACATTATTGGATCTAACACTAGTTAATAACTAACATTTAATGTGCATTATTGCATTTAACGCAAACCATTAAACCAGTCTTATGAAGTGGTTTCTTAGGCTACCAATTATTAAGTAACTTGAGGATCAGAGAGGTTAAGTAGCTTCTCTAAGGTTACACAGTACTAACTAGCAGAATTTGAATCCACGTCTATCCAAATCCAGGTTCCCCTCCTATGTGCTGTACTCCTCTGCCTCTCATGGTAGGAAGTGAGCATTTCTAGAATCTGGCTGGACTACTAGAAAACTGTAGAACCTGTCTGATACCTGTCTCCAGCCTAAGAAGTTTTCCCCATCAGAAAGTTCTTGGTACCTAAACTCCTCAAAACATCTTTTAAAGGTAATTTGCTGTCTCTAAGGAAGGGCTGCGTTAGAAGATACAACTCTCCCAGGAAGAAAGACGGGCATCTCATATGCTTAGTAGTACAAAACCTTACTTTTATCTTCAAAGCTTAATTCTAACCTCTTGAGAAATTAAACAAAGTAAGAATAATAAAGGGAAAACTTGAGATGCAAGAAACAGCTATTCTCTGTACATACAAGTTTAAGCTGTGTTTAAGCTGGATACTAGTATATAAAACTTCCTGGTTACAGCTAAAAGTTTATCAGTAAAGAAACATGGAGGTTGGGTGTGGTAGCTCACATGTGTAATGCCAGCACTTTAGGAGGCCAAGATGGGGGCACTCCTTGAGCCCAGGAGTTTGAGGCCAGCCTGGGCAGCATAGCAAGACCCCATCTCTACAAAGAAATAAAAAATAAAACCATTAGCCAGGCGTGGTGGCGTGTACCTATAGTCCCAGCTACTCGGGAGGCTGAGGTGGGAGGATTGCTTGAGCCTGGGAGGGTGAGGCCCCAGGGAGCTGTGACTGCACCACTGCATTCCAGCCTGGGTGACAGAGCGAGACCCTGTTTTCAGGAAAAAAAAAAAAAAAAAGAAAAAAAAATTCTTACACTTATAATTAATGTAGCCATGTGAAGTATTTTAATACTTGTATATATTAAGCACTGTGTCAGTGTGTGTGCACTGCTGAGAAGTGAGCCCTGGTGGAGGCTTCGAAGAGCATCCTGGAACCCCCTAGGCTCCGAGAAGTCCTGAGGTCAGGGAGTTTGCAGAGAGCAGCCTTGGCTCAATGCTACAGAAGCCAGAGGAGATGGAATCTGCAAATCTCCAAATTCACTTCCACCCAACTTCCCAAAAAGTACTATTATCCGTTGTTAGCTACTTCTTTAGGAAAATTTAAGAATGATCTCGCTTTTCACCACCCAATGTTATACCGGAAATATATTTCAGGAAGCAAGTGGCTTTTCTTCCTTAATAAAAGCCAAGGCTTCAAAGAGATAACGGAGCTGAACCGAAATAGCTAAGCCATTCTCCCCATTTATAAATATTACATAAAGTCTCCTCTTCAAAAGCCGAAGGGTACAAAGCTCCTCTGCTGAAAGCAGCCTCTCTTCTACCTGGTGAGAATGAGTGCTGTAGGGAGGAAGGCCATGGGGCCAAGGTTCCCGCTATGCATCATCTTCCCTATCCCCTTCTCTTTCTCCTCTGTATCAACAGTGCCCCCAATAATGACCATGGTCATGGCAGAGCCGGGCAGGCGCAGCAAGGGGCAAACTCAGATATCCAATTCCAGAGGCATCTGCTCAGTTGCTGACAGCAAGGACCCTTACGGAATGCAAGAGACCAACACACACCAAGCCTGAGAGGCTAACTAGTACACAACCTAAGTTTAATGGCACGTATTTTCATAAAGCCTACGAAACGCAAATCTACGTTTCCTCCCTTTTCCTTCTGCCAAGACATATCAATAGCATCAACTCCAACCTCTGTCCCAGGCAGGTTTTCGAACCGTGAAAACCGTGAATTCACAGTAAACCTGACTCTGCAGTTCTCTCCATGCCTAAATGGCTATCCATCGCCTTTCAGGGTCTCCTGAACATCTCCCTTCTTCTCTCTTGTCACATCCTGGAGTTGATATCCCAAACTCACAGGCCTAATCCATCATTCTTTCATTTTCTTCATTCCTCAACTATTTTTGAGCATCTACTGTGCTCCAGGCACTATTATTAAAAAAATGCAAGCATGAATATTGCACAGCTTTTGTCTTCCCAATGTCCCAGCAGAGAAGAGAGACTTCTAGATTAAAAAAGAAAAAAATCAGTACAATCCTATGTGAGAGGAGTCACAAAGCAATACACACGACCACCTTCACAGAGGAGGGAAGGGATATGTTAGCCTGGTGCAGACGGATAAGGTTTTACACAGGTGGTGATGTCTAAGCTGACTCTTAGAAGTAAAAGGATTTCAGGTGCAAACGACTGAGAAAGAGGGAAAACAGAATTTGTAAAGGCACCAAGATCTGAACGAGTAGGCTCTGGTCCAGGAAGGGCAACAGGTTCAGAATGGCTGGAATGCCAGCTGCATGGAAGGGTAAGGTTGTGTTCAGATTCAGAAAGGCCTTGTACATCACGCCAAGAAACCTGGAGCATTACCGTCGATAATGGACAACCTGGAGAAGTGCGGAGAGGGTTTAAACCAAAGCCACGTCAGCCTGAAGAACTGCTTTAGCTCACTTATCACAGGTTTTTCAAATATTAGAATTAGTAGCCAACATCTAAAAATTAGCAAATTTCACATAAAAATATAGAATCTTGGTTCCTTTAAGAAAATAATCTGGCACATTGGGCCAACATTCCTATGGTGACATGTGTCTGAGTAGCAGGTGCAGCAGCTGGCCCCTTCAAGTGGGACACCTATCACCTAGTTCATAACCGCCCCTGACCGCCCTCACTTGGAGGCATGTGAATCTGCAATCCCTGGTTTTAAGGGAGAGGGTAACACCATAGACAGGGGTTACAGGAAAATGACACTGAAAGTGACCCAGTGATTAAACTGGGCAGTGAAACTGAAGGCAAGAGGGCAAGTTAGGAGGATTTCACCACAGCATGAGGAGGTGACAAAAGCCTGAACCAAGTTCGGAGAATAAATACTCAGAAGAATGTAAAGATTCAAGAAATGCTTAAAACGCTCCAGGCACAAGAATGCTTATTAACCATGGAACTTTTCTGTGTCATTTGTTCATGGACAAAGACTGTATTAGGAGACAGGAAGAAGGACTCAAAATTAATTTTCAATTTATAATTAAAGTGACTATTAAGCAAACTGTGGAAAATCCACCTCAATGCCATACAGCAGAGACAACCGATGAGGCACAGCTGTCTGTGTGATTCTCATCGTGGACTCTCAGGATCGTTTTCCAGGTGGAACAGAACAAATCCTACTGCAAACCCTCTGCGCGAAGCCCCTGACAAGTGAGGTTTACAAGCAGGGGCTGGGGTCTAAACCAGTACAATCGCTCACAGCAGGACCAGCAGTGAATTGGCAAACTTAGAAAGCCTTCCAGCTCATCCACGGGAGAGTCCTGCCCGAGAACTCACAGAGGCCGTTGACATCCAGCATGTTGGAGATGCCCCGGTCACTCATGTCCACCTCGGGCTGGTTCTTCTCCCGGCTCTCCTCCACCAACTTCTTCAGAGACTTGGACATGGTCTGCACCGAACAACAACAAAGCACGTGGGCGATGACAGCAAGCGCAGAGGCGGAAAGGCAAGAGGCCTTCGCTGCCACTCTGAGGCTTCCCCAGGGTTGGAGCGGGTGGGCGTCCGAGGGCGTCCCAGGGGCTGGTCCGGGTGCGGGGAGGGGATGGAGTGGGAAGGGTTCAGCCCCGCTGCGGCCACGCAGCGAGAAGCAACCCCAAGTGCAACACCGCACACACTCACCACGGAAGGTAGCCCCTAAGACGATGGGCGTGCAACCACAAGCTTCGGCAGAACGCACTCCAGCTGCCCTCACTCCCTGCAACACCGGCACTGAACAGCGAACACGCCCTGTCTCGGCGCCCCGCGCAGGCGCACACAGCGCCGCTGCCAGCTCCACGCCCGACCCTACCCATATTAGGAGAACAGCTCTCCAGACGTGTCTCCAGGGCCAGGCTCCGCCCTTAAAAGTCTGTGGAAGAGGCTGGCTAATCACGTTCGTTATTCGGCTTCGAGACCCCGCCCCACGCTGAGGATAGTTTATCCCGGTGGCGTCCACCCCACGGTTTGGGACGCTGATTGGGCCGAAGTTGGCGCGTGCGCAGTAGACTTGGCGCAAGCTCAGTTGATGGGTCGAAGCCCAGAGGGCTGTGGGCGGAAGTGGGGAAGTTTGTGGCGTGACTGTGTAAGGGAGGGTGGTGGCTCAGGGTGGGTGTTGCGAAAGCTGGAAGTAAATTGCTTCCGAATGTTTCGCTTGTGTAATAGCCGCTCCACTCGCCAGAAGTTGCTACCCTGAGCCCGTCTCCACAATGTGCCTCTGAGGGACCTTGTGGGGCACGCAGTTTCCCGCCCTATTAAGAGCTTCTCCAGGCGGGGATTCCGGCGCGGTCTGCGTTTCCCCAGCGCCCTGCTGGAAATCTTTTTTGACAGGTTTCTAAGGCTGGCTTTTAGCCTTTTTACTTGTAGCTAGAACCTACAAGTAAAACCCTACTATTTTAAAAGTCATTTGAAAACACCACTAAAGCGATGTGTCTTTCCCAACTAGGACTTTTACATTTGTGAAACATGACGTTCTGGCTTCCAGGAATCTCTTGCTTTCTCTTCCAAAAGCAACCAAATTTTAAATTCTAGAGAAACTGTTGCCCTCTGCCTCCCTATTTCCTGACCCAGTCTCAGTCACCCAGCAACATCCTGTGCTTCTCTCACCAAAAACCCTGTCCTGAGAGACTATTTTATACTATGGAATAAAAATTGGCACCAGGCACTTTTCTTCTACTGGTCACCTAAATTGATGATAAGACGGATGCCACACATATGCATTTATATATTGTAGATTGTAGCAGGGATCAAAGCCTTAAGGAGATGTGGTAAAATAATGTAATTATATCTCCGAACCAATTGGATAAAAAAAGGATCTGCACTCTTAAATTCGAAAGCAGGTATTTCTTGCTTAAAAAACATTCCAGATGAAAGAGTTATTCCTCCATTAGTCTTCTTTGATCTGGAACCGTCCTTGGCTTTTATGTTTATTGAACTAGACATTATTTAAGAATACAGACCAGGTATTGTGTGGAATATCCTTCAAAGTAAGTTTGATGTTCCCTTTCAGGTTATGAATTTTTGGAGAAACACCACTAAAGCGATGTGTCTTTTCCAGTGCATGATATCAAGGTACAGATGGCATCGGTTTCTCCCAGTATAGGTGATGTTCACTTAAATAAGGTAGTGTCTGCCAGGTTTCTTCACCATAAAGTTACTATTTTTTTCTTTATGATTAAAAATAATGCTGGGGGGAGGTGCTACTTGATTACACCCCATTCCTCATCTAATTTTTACCCACAAGTTTTAGCATCCACTGATGATTTTCTAACTTCATAATTTCATCAATACGTATTAGTAGGTAATCTCCTAATACATTTATTTCTTGAATCATTAACTCTTTTAAAGCAAAAGTCCTGTTTTGAAGCAATCAGAATTTTTCTTATTCTATCAATTTCTAATAGTGAATCTTGCCTAGGTAGGCTGAAGACATACAGTACCTGTGTTAGTCGGCTAGGGCTGTCGTAACAATATACCACAGCCTGGATGGCTTAAACAACAGAAATTTCTCACAATCCTGGAAGTTCTAGATCAAGGTGCCAGCAGATTTGATTTATCCTGTGGCCTCTCCCCTGCCTCGTGGACGACTGTCTTCTCTTGGTGTCCCTCCAGGGCATTTTCTCTATGCAGTCACACCCTTGGTGTCTCTTCTTCTAAGGACACCAGTCCTATTGGACTGCCGGCCTATAATAACACCCTGCATTTGTTTCATGAATGTACTCTCTTCTCAGGTATCACCGAGGATAATAGTTTTTAAACCTCTCTTCTGTTCACTCAATTATGTTTCTTCAAGGGTCCATTCTTACGTGTATTTATCTAGTCTTTTCCCTAGAAAAGAAAGATTCTTCCCCTCTCTGGTGATTGATTCTTGGTTGTTCTTTTGAGTTCAAGTGTGAAGATCTGAACTGGTTTTTCTAGATAGCTGGAGTGGTCTCTTGTTTGTTTGTATTGTTTTCCTCCTAGATCCCTAGACTGATAGTCGAATTTCTTCAGAGGCAAGAACCCAGTATTATGCCTGCAGGTCATCACCCGGCTACCTTTGCAGGTGGAGGGAAATGGTGGATTGTGAGTGCCAGTTAGGGCAACTCCCTGACTTTGGTTTTAGCCCCTCACACTGCACCAGCCAGCCCCACATCCAGGTTACACCTGGAACAGAGAGTCCCAGCCCTCCTGCATGTCTCTCTTGAAGTTATTTTGAGCTGCATGCCTCCATTCACTTCTGTTTCATAGGAATTTGTTTTCACTCCTGTTTGAGATAGGAAAAACCAAACTGTTTTTGCTACTCTCCACTGGCTCAACACTTCTGACACCAGAGAATCCCCCACACATGAAACAGTTCTCCAGCAGACACCAGCTCGGTGTCTTACAGTTTAACTTAATTCTGACACTGTCTACCTCAACTTATAGTCAAATCCCACAAGTTAAGGGTTCATTTCCACAAGACTTTAGGTTGACTGTCACCTACACTTCTGACTGACCAGCTATAAATCAGGGTTCCCACACCCCCTTCTCAGGTTTGATTAATTTGCTAGGATGATGGTTAGCCTGTCCAGGGTCCTGATTGCTAGCAGTGAAACTTCATGGTGACACAATTTGGAATCAGGAAACTTATCCCTTGGCCACTAGATCTGGGAAGTTGGCTCAATGTATGTTTCACCAGATAAGAATATTAAGGTTTTTGCCTCAGGACTGGCTCAGGAAATCAAGCAAGATGGAGCTGGGAAGTGTGCTTTGTGAAGCTGGGAGACATCAGCTGATAGTCTTGTATGGCTGTCTTGTTCTCTGCTTTATCCTCAGTGCGCTGAGTACGTATCACATAGCTGATGCTCAATAAACATTTGGAAACAAGTGAATTAAATGTAAAGCAGAACCAGAGGATATACGGTGGGTCTTACGAATGAGAGTACAGTTGACTCTTTTCTCCTTCTTCCAGCTGAATTACTCAAAAACTGAATTACTCAATAACTACTTCCCTTGGCTATACACGAAAATGTCATGCTCCCAAGCCTGACCATCCCTAACCCACTAAAAAATCACTGCTTATTTCCTAGATGCCCAGCCTGGAAGATTTTGTAAAGCTTCATTTTGTCTCTTTTTTTCTGTATTTTTAATTTTAAAATTACATAATAATATTGACTATGCTTTCCTCAATTTCAGGTACACACTTCCCAGATATTCCAATATGCCTCCTAGAAAAGCATGCCCTTCTGAGTGGAAATGATACCGTTACTCTAATGATGCAGTCCATGCTCTAAGCATCATTTTTTTGACAGTGACATCATGTTAATCTTTCTTTCAGAAAAGTACTATGTCATTTCATGTTATTGTTAAACTTTCCCTGTATTCTGTACTTTTGCAATTCATTTTTTGATAAAAGAGGAAGATCTTATATCTGTCACATTTCGTCTGTTACAATTGGCCCATTGTTGTAGCTTATCAAGACCTTTTGGATTTGATGGTGTTACTTATCGCATTCACTGTCCTTTCCAATGTAATTGTCACCCATAAAGTTGATATGTCTATCCATAATACAAAAAGGGAGCAGGAATTGTTGTTGTTGTTGTTTGTTTTTTTGAGATGGAGTCTCATTCTGTAACCCACACTGGAGTGAAGTGGCGCGATGTTGGCTCACTGAAACCTCCGCCTCCTAGGTTCAAGTGATTGTCCAGCCTCAGCCTCCTGAGTAGCTGAATTTTCAAGGTTAGAGTATTTTATTTCTGTGGCTCCATACTCTGTCCAGAAATAATTATCTGCCATTTGAGTATTAGAGTAAGATGAAGTTACATTCCTCAGCTTCTCTCATTCACATGGTCTTTTGTTAATAACCCTTGATTTTGCATAATTAACATAAAGCAAATCTCCTTTGTAAAGGCTTCCGCTTTTCTAGAGGCACTGAAAAACTTTATAAAAGCATTGAATTTTCTTATGAAAAGGAAGCTAATAACTACCTCACTTAGTTACATGTCTGGCAGCATTGGAGATAAGGATGTGCTACTGAACTTTCTACTTCTTGTTAAGTGGCAAACCATATTGTTTATTTATAACTTAACATATTGTGTTAAGGAATAGGCAATGGTGGTGCTTATGGAAACTTTGTACTCCTGAGCGTAAATACATAATAGAGTTTGGATATTTGTCCCTGCTCAAATCTCATGTTGAGTTATAAAAGCCAGTGTTGGAGATCGGCCTGGTGGGAGGTGTTTAGATCGTGGGGGTAGATCCCTCATGAATGGCTTGGGCCATACCCTTGGTGATAAGTGAGCTCTTGCTCTGAGTTCACATGAGAGCTGGCCACTTAAAAGTGTGTGGCACCTGTCCCATACTCTCGCTGTCTTGCTCCTGCTTTCACCGTGTGACATGCCTGTTTCCCCTTCGCCTTCCTCCATGATTATAAGCTTCCTGAGGCTGCCCCAGAAGCCAAGCAGATGTCAGCACCATGTTTCCTATAAAGCCTGCAGAGCTGTGAGCAGATTAAACCTCTTTTCTTTATAAGTTACCCAGTCTCGGGTATTTCTTTATAGCAATGCAAGAATGATCTATTACAGAAAATTGGTACCAGGAGTGGGGTTTTGTTATAAAGATACCTGAAAATGTGGAACTGACTTTGGAACAAGATAATGGGTAGAGGTTGGAAGAGTTTGGAAGGCTCAGAAGACATAAAGATGAGGGAAAATTTGGAACTTCTTAGAGACTGTTTAAAAGTTGCAACTAAAATTCTGATAGTGATATGGATAATGAAGTCCAGGCTGCCAAGGTCTTCGATGGTAATGAGGAACTTAGTGGGAACTGGAGCAAAGGTGACACATATTATGCCTTAGCAAAGAACTTGGCTGCATTCTGTCCATGCCCTAGGGATCTGTGGAAGTTTGAACTAAAGAGTGGCAACCTGGGGTATCTGGTGGAAAAAATTTCTAAGCAGCAAAGTGTTCAAGATTTGGGCTGGCTGCTTCTAATAGCATGTGCTCAGATGTGGGAGCAAAGAAATGACTTCGAATTGGAACTTATATTAAAAAGGAAAGCAGAGTGTAAAAATTTGGAAAATTTACAGCCTGGCCATATGGCAGAGAAAGAAAAAGCTTTTTCAGGAGAGGAATTCAAGCAGGCTGTGAGGCATCCACTTGCTAGAGATATTTGCATAACCAAAAGCCAACTGCTAATATCCAAGATAATGGAGAAAAGTCCCCAAAGGCATTTCAGAAACCTTTGCTGAAACCCCTCCCATCACAGGCCCAGAGGCCTGGGAGGAAAGAATGATTTCATGGACCAGGCCCAGGGCCCTGCTTCCCTGCATAGGCTCAAGACAGGGCTCCCCACGCCCTGGTCACTCCAGCTCCAGCTACGGCTCAAAGGGGCCCAGGTACAGCTTGGGCTGCCACTTTGGAGAATGAAAGCCATAAGCCTTGGCAGCCTCCACGGGGTGTTAAACCTGCAGGCACACAGAGTACAAGAGTGGTAGATTCTTGGCAGCTTCTCCCCAGATTTTGG
Organism: Homo sapiens; assembly: GCF_000001405.40. Lineage (NCBI taxonomy): Eukaryota > Metazoa > Chordata > Mammalia > Primates > Hominidae > Homo > Homo sapiens. The sequence continues at coordinate 16,823,156 of NC_000010.11, forward strand.
AGGTGGTATGGAAAAGCCTGGGTTTTCAGGAAGCAGCCTTCTGCAGGGGCAGAATCCTCACAGAGGACCTCTACTAGGGCAGTGTAGCAGGGAAATGTGGGTCGGAGGCCCCACACTGAGTTCCTACTGGGGCACTGCCTAGTGGAGCTGTGTGAAGAGGGCCACCATTCTACAGGAGAGTGGAGAATACTCAGAGAAATTAAATAACCAGGAGAGTACAGGGTCCTGGGGATAAATGAAGAAAAGGTTCGGCGTGGCCAGGAGAAACAGAAGTTTGAGTCAAATGGGAGGGAAATAGAGAATTCAGAGGTTACGGCAAACTTCTCTGTAGTTAAGGCAAGGTCTTTGGAGAAGCTCAGATTGACCTAGGGGCATGGCAAAAGGTAAACACAGGTGAGACTTGGGCCTGGCTTTGGAGGAGTATGGGAAAAGCAGGTACATCTGTATGGTAAGGAGGAGAGTCATACTACTACTAATTGACATAGAAGCTAGCATTTACCAATTACTTAATATGCACCAGGTATTGTTCTGAGTCTTTACACATATATACTTAATTATTGCAACCCTGTGAGACAGGTAAAATAATCCCCTTATACAAATGAAGAAACTGAGCACAGAGAGATTGTGTAAGCACTTAACTAGTACAGTTAAAATTGAAACTCAGGCAGCTTGGCTCCAGAAATGAAGCTCTGGAAGATTCATATATATATTGAATTCTTTGCCAAAATGTAAAAATTAAACTTGAAAATTTATATATGTCCCATAGTGAAAGACAGAGTTTTAATAAGTCAAAAAATTAATGCAGCATAATTGTGTACAATTCAATAATGTTTATTATGTGTAATTGAACATTCACAGGAAATTTATGCTTCTATATTATCATTAACTTTTGTTGTTCTTGTTGTCATTTTTGAGATAGGGTCTCAGTCTGTCACCCAGGCTGGAGTACAGTGGTTAATTCACAGGGTTTCACTGCAGCCTTAACCTACTGGGCTCAAGTGATCCTCCTGCTTCAACCTCCTGTGTAGCTGGAACCACGGGTGCATGCCACCATGCCTGGCTAATTTTTTGATTTTTTGTAAAAATCAGGTCTCACTTTGTTGCCCAGGCTGGTCTCAAACTCCTAGGTTCAAGCAATCCTCCCATCATGGCCTCCCAGCGTGCTGGGATTATGGGTATGAGCCACTGCCCCTGGCTATTATTATTAACTTTTAAAAATGTATGTCACATATGCCATAATCATTTCCAACTCTTTCAAAGTTTTTTTAAATTTCAGCTCAAAATATTAGAATGAAATGCACACTCAAGACTAAAGAAGCTATATTCTATGTTCGAGAAAATGTACAAATATTGATTCTGGTTTTTTTTGTTTCTTTTTTTTTTGAGATGGAGTCTTGCCGTCTCGCCCAGGCTGGAGTGTAGTGGTGTGATCTTAGCTCACTGCAACCTCTGCCTCCTGGGTTCAAGCAATTCTCCTGCCTCAGCCTCTCGAGTGGCTGGAATTACAGGCACCCACCACCACGCCTGGCTAATTATTATATTGTTAGAGAGATGAGGTTTCACCATGCTGGCCAGGCTAGTCTCAAACTCCTGACCTCAGGTGATCAACCTGCCTCGGCCTCCCAAAGTGCTGAGAATACAGGGGGGTGAGCCACCACGCCTGGCCTACAAATATTGATTCTATCCATGGTTTGGTGAAAAACCATACAAGTTCAGCTTATTCTCTGTGGCATCAGCAGGGGTCATGTATCAGGATGGCAGAGTGCTGTCCAGCGTGCTGCAGAGGGAAAGTGCTGAGTGAACACGAGTTGTTACCCACTTAGCTGTCCCAAGTTAATCGGAATGCGGATGGACGCCGTGCATAATCAGCATGAAATTTTATGAAGACCTGATTTGAGGAAGCCACGAAGGGAGCTATGCTGGTGTCCTAAAATTGAAAAAAAAAGTATCCAATTATATATTTCACATATTTGAACGTTTTTCTAGGAATGTTAGCCTAGTAACAAAGTACCACATAAAGAAACTTTATAGAATTTATGGTGAACCTGCATATATTTCTTGAAGTAACCTTGCAAAGAATGAATGCAAATGCTTTACAAAGGAATATTTCTGGGCGTGGGGAGTTGAGGGAAAATGGGGAAGGACTGCAAATGGGTACTGGGTTTCTTTGGGGGGTAATGAAAGTGTCCCAAAATTGGCTGTGCTGATAATGGCCGCACAGCTCTGTGAACCTACGAAAAACCACTGAATTGTATACTTTAAGGAGATGAATTGGATGGTATTGAAATTGTATCTCAATAAAACTGTTATCAAAAAACTTGAACTTCTTATTCAAGTTCTTACTGCAAATTTAATTTTTCTGAAACAAACATATATAATTAAAATGATCCTATTAAGTAAAATATAGTATTTTCATCCTCAGTGTTTATAGTTTTTCCTCTTGAGATTTATTTTCATATACTTCTGTGGAACAGTGTGTGTGTGTGTGTGTGTGTGTGTGTGTGTGTGTGTGTGTGTGTTGGGGGGATACATGGGTCCCCGTTGTCTCTCACTTTCTATTCATTCATTTGGCAAATATTGATCAAGGCACTGCCACGCTGCAGGTATTAAGACATTAAAAAATGAGCAAAACAGGCAAAAAGCCCTGCTCTCATGATGCTTACATGACTGGCTTCTCCTGCCTCAGCCCTACCCCAAGTCATCAAAACACAGGCTTATTTCCAAGATACTCACTTACTCAAGTGAGTGTAGATTTTTTTTTCTGTAAGAGATACATCAAGGAATATACAATATTTTTATTCCTATACACATCTACTTTTTACTCCCATTTTAATCTGCTTCCAAATTTCAATAACTTCTTTTATTTTGACAAACTAGTATGTCAACAGACGGTCAACAGAAGTTTTAGAATCTCCTTTGATTCTCCTTGTTTGTCCCGTTATTCTCTCATTTGCTAGATCTTCATTTTCTGCAGCTGCAAGGGATATAGGATTTCCCTGTGAACAATGGTATTTACCGTAATATAAAATATCTCCAAATCAGGGTTTGTGTTTATATTAGCAAAATAAGGAGCTACCTCTGTATGTACACTGTATGTATTTAAATACTGTATGTATATAAATATTACAAGTTTAACAAACATATTTACATACATAAAAAGTTGAATTGTATACTTAAGGAGTATACATACAAAAGTATACAACTTTCATATGTATGTAATTATGCATGTAAATATGTATGTATGTAACATGTGAAAGTATGTATGTAAATATTAGTAAAATATTACAACTTACAAAAAGTTGTATGTAAATATTAGCAAAACAAGAGCTACCTCTGTACTTCATGTTTTATACTTATGTTTTACATTTTTTCATTTATGTTTAACATTGATAAAGTGTTAAAGAAATCAGTGGTACCTTTAAGAAAAAAAACAATTACACATGAAATTATATCCACATTTATAAAAAAATGTAAAACTGGGAAAATACCGTAAACACCAACAGTTAAAAAAATTGATGTTATCTCGCTATATACTTCAACTTAACGTGGCATTGGATTAAATGGCCGTCACTTCTCTCAGTGACTCGGTTTATACTTGTTCAGTATAAACCTGAACTCGGTTTATACAAGTCCAGGATATACTTGTTCTTTCCACCTTATGGGAGTGTCACTGTGGGGATCAAATGGGGTTGTATGTTTGCAAGCCACTGAAAACCATGCCCACAAAAAAACCCCTACCAATATAAAGTCATGGTATTGTTAAAATTGCCTCTTTTCCTCCCTTTTGAAATGTTTGTAAATTTCAATTCAATGTCTAAGAGCTGATTAGCTTCTAAATCTGATGTGTGGCACATTTACTGGGGTCTCTCTCTCTGTGGGCCTTCTGTGCATCCCCGTGATACAGTGTCTGCTGGTCCTGTGATTACCATTTCTCACCAAGTAATGTAACTATATGTATAAAGATATCACTACCAAAAAGTTTATTAAGTGTTGTCTGTAGTTGCAAAAAGTTCAAGAGACCTAAATGTCCACTTAGAGGGGCTTCATTAAATAAATTAGGCCACACTCGTGCAACGGAATACTCTCCAAAACTTAAATATGATGCAACAGTGTTTTTATTGATATGTTACTAATGATATATTGGTAAGTAGAAAAAACACACCATCAAACAGTAAAAAATATGCATGTAAAATATATGCAAATATATTCAAAGAAAGGTGTTAAGAATATATGAGAATGCCCAGGGTTTTAGAAAAATTAGCCTATTTTCTGATACTTCTGAAAACAGCATTTATCAATTTTATAAATAGTAAGTTATATTTTAAAAACCATCTAGATTTCCAGCTGATACAGTTCTCTGTCTAGTTTGATTACAAAGTCTAAGTGATTAAAGGGCAGAAAAATCAGAAACAGATACCCGCTTGCCAACAGCCAATTTTCCCTTACTTACTCTCTTGTTATTTTGAGATGGAGTCTGGCTCTGTCGCCCAGGCTGGAGTGGAGTGGCGCCATCTCGGCTCACTGCAACCTCCGCCTCCCTGGCTCAAGCAATTATTTTCCCTCAGCCTCCGGAGTACTTGGGATTACAGGCGTGTGCCACTATACCAGCTAATTTTTGTATTTTTAGTAGAGACGGGGTTTCCCCATGTTGGCCAGTCTAGTCTCAAACTTCTGAGCTCAAGTGATCCACCTGCCTGGGCCTCCCAAAGTGTTGGGATTGCAGGTGTGAGCCCTTACTCTCTTTAAGTATCTACTTGCACATCAAATGAGAGGATCGTAAGCACAGATGCCTGCAATATTGAATCAACGTCAGATTCTGATTTTTTTAGGGAAGATATCAGAGCTTTACAAAAACAAACTATCGGTCACCATTTCTTCAAATAATTTCTGCAATTTTCAGCAAGAAGTAGATAAAATAGAGCCACGTGTCCAAATTTTCTACAGTTCTATTTATGCAGAAATAAACATGGGTATTCAACCCTAGGCAGTGCACTGACGTCACAGAGGGAGCTTTTTTTTAAAAAAA